>NC_000004.12:138315320-138618350 GCF_000001405.40 Homo sapiens
CATTTTAAGGATATTGATTCTTCCTATCCATGAGCATGGGATGTTTTTCCATTTGTTTGTGTCTCCTCTGATTTATTTGACAGTGTTTTGTAATTCTTATTGTAGAGATCTTTTATCTCCATGGTTATCTGTAGTCCTAGGTATTTTATTTTATTTTTTTTATGGCAGTTGTCAGTTGTGAATGGAATTGCCTTCCTGAATTAGTTCTCAGTTTGGCTGTTGTTGGTGTATAAGAATGCTAGTGATTTTACTACATTGATTTTGTGTCATGAAACTTTGGTGAAATTGTTTATCAGCTGAAGACTATGGAGTTTTCTAGATATAGCATCATGTCATCTACTAACAGGGATAGTTTGACTTCCTCTCTTCCTATTTGGATGTGCTTTATTTCTTTCTCTTGCCTGATTGCTCTAGCTTAGACTTCCAACACGATGTTGAATAGAAGTGGTGAGTGAGAGCATCCTTGTCTTGTATCAGAGAACCTGCTCTTTTTTTCTCAGTGTTTAAAAAAAACTTTTTATTGTAAAATCTAACAGATATAGAAGACTATATAAAATAAACCAAATACCCTTATAACCATAGCTAGGTTTAAAAAATATAATTTTTCCATCCATCTATCCTAATCACAGTCCCTTCCCTCTTTTCAAAAGTAATCACAGTCCTGATCTTTACGGTAATCAAGTCTTTATTTTCTTTGTAACTTTACCACCCAAAAGTTCATGCCTAGTTTAGTTATGCTTTGTATTCCTTTTTCTAGAACAGGACTGTTTTGTTTTTAATTGTTCCTCCTTTCGTTTATTTCTTTTTTTTTTTCCAATGGGGTTTTGGGAACACGTGGTATTTGGTTACATGACTAGGTTCTTTAGTGGTGATTTCTAAGATTATGGTACAACCATCACCCAAGCAGTGTACCCTGTACCCAATGTATAGTCTTTTATCTCTCACCCACTCCCACCCTTTCCCCCGAGTCCCCAAAGTCCATTGTATCATTCTTATGCCTTTGCATCCTCATAGCTCCCACTTGTGAGAACATATGATGTTTGGTTTTCCTTTCCTGAGTTACTTCACTTAGAATAATTGTCTTCAGTTCCAACCAGGTTGCTTCAAATGCCATTATTTCATTCATTTTTATGACTGAATAGAATCCCATGGTGTGTGTGTGTGTGTGTGTGTGTGTGTGTGTATAAAATAATTTCTTTGTCTATTCTTTGAATGATGAATGATGAGCATTGGGCTGAGAGAACCTACATTTTTAACAACTTATTTAGGTGATCCTCAGGAACTCTAAATCGTGGGAATCACTGCTAGCCTATCTCCTTATACACTTAAGAAGCAAGATCTACAGCCTCCAATGTATCACATTTTATTTCCATAAGCCTTCAAAACCGATCAAGGGTGATGAGGATGGCATTATTTATCTCAATTATGTATTTTCATTTTCCTTCCTAAAAGAAGATTATATGCCTCTATCTGTTGCCATGTGACTTGAAATGCTTCTCTTTGGGAAAGGCATACTCCATGGTCTGAGGAGGTCATTTACATCACACTTGGCCATGTAAATTACCATGGCCAATGCAATGTGAGTAAAAGTGATATCTGCTACCTCTGGGTAGATGCTTCAAGAGCCATCCCATGGCTCTGTCACTATTCTTTCCTTTTGCCACAAAACTAAGGTAAGGCTCTTTCCTTCAGTCTCAATCACCAAATAAGGAAGATATGTGAGGCAGACCCACAGCTCTCCTAGAACCTACATTGACAGAGTAGGAAATAAACTGTTATTGTTGTAAAGCACTGAGACTTTGAACTTGTTTTCATTTTTTAATGGAGCATAACATAAAGAAAGATTTTCAATCCATGGAGATAAAGCAATTTTTTAAATTTTCTTTCCCATGACAAAAATATGGCCAAGTAAAAGCGAAAAGTAGCTTGTGCTGCCTCTAAGGTGGTGCAGTAAGTGCAGCTACGAATGCCCATTGAAAGGACAGTCCCAATGTGTATACTAGCTACATACTAGTTTCATCCTGCCTTAGCACCCCCATCCTGCACTGTCTCAAGGACAGCAATAGAGCTTTACTCTGTCTTCAAAACAAGGGAAGGATGGATTATTTGCCCTGCCCTCCTCTTACACATATATACAGTTTGGGCAAAAGGAATACCACCAGGCAAATTGTTTTCAAATCTATCTAATTTCTTCGAGACTTTTCCTGTTTGTTTTTCTAAAATCACCTTCTCTCCTTCCATGGCAACAGGACAAGACAAAACGGTTCTCTTTTAATATTCAAGAGCTGTTGCTCTCAGACAATGTAGTGCTATTCAGCAGAAAAGCCCTATTCAGCATATTAAAAAATCCCATTAACTCTTCCCTTCTCATTACTTGTGAATTACAGATACCCTGGTCAATACCCTTGTCAGAAACTGATTTCATGTTTCTGACATCACAGGTTTTAAACACATATCAGAATGAAAAACAAAGTATATGGCTATTTCTATCTACTCATGTCTCACTGTAAATAAATGAAATGGCAGGGTTCTGAAGTTGATATATAACATTAACTTAATAAATACTATTTGAATCTGGAGACTTATACATGGAAAGGAATTTCCAGAAGCTACCTTTCTTTGGCTCCCAGTCATCTAAATTAATAAAAACATTCTGCAATTAAAAAAAATCTAAAAGATACTGGAAGCAAGTTTAATATGCTGAAAATATACATGCAAGTCTACTCTATACATGAGTGACAAGTAAGTCACATAGAATTATATTAAAGCAATTATTACATGTCATTTGTGCTTCTTGATTAGTCCAGAGTCCCTATATAGTACAAAAGCAAATATCTTTGTTTGATGACAACAAGCCAATAATTCCTCGAGGTATAACTGGAACCATGTCATTTGACACAATATGCTTTAAAATGGTATGTGGCTTCAAAACCCAAAGATTTATCAAATATAATTTTGCAAGTGTGCTTACAGGAGCTAATATAAACCTTAGTTTCAAATATTTTGTTTCAAATGTAAGGAAAAGATGCTTCCATATGGAATAGAGCCATTTAGGAGCCACAATCAATCACTGAAGATAATCAAATGTCCCTGAGCTTCATGACCCAGGCTAATTGAGTTAGAGGTAATGATACTTGAATATCCTCTTGTTGCCTGATTTAGAAGCCCATGACACTGCTGAGATACTTATATTTAACTCTTAACAGGATTCCATTATGGTCCAGAAGCTTCTGAGACTGTTGAGGTTGGAAAAAAAAAAAGGGTGCTCTAAACTCCACCAGGACTACCTCCAAGGGGACAATTCTCAGACCAAGATAACTAGTGGAAATCTGGCAAATTATTTATACAGTTTTTCCTCTTCCTTTCTTAACTACAAGAATTCAAGACATTCCAAGAGGTTTAGGAGCAGTCTACTTGGTCCCACACTTCCTGGAATACCTCAGAAGACCCCAGAATTGTTTTATAACCCCAGGGAACATCCAAATTTCTATAATATGAAAAAAAATACATGCACACTGATTATGGGCTAGACTGTGTGCCTATCAGACTTATATACAACAAACACTTGGATACATCCAGAATCCTTAAATTTTGGGGGTACAAAATATGAGGCTTCATTCATCAACTGGCATTCACCACCACAGGCATTGCGACCCCACCACATTTATTATCACTTTGATGGGGACACGTATGCCCTCCATTTCTCGGGTATTCTTTTCCTTCTCTTACACCTTCTTCTTATATCAATTTCTTCCCCATCACACTTCCAAAATATATGACCATAATAAGAATGCCATCTAGACTGCTTAGGGCATTTGTTCATTAAAAAGCCAACTCTCAGCTAAATGAAGAGCCAAAGATCATTAGAGGTGACAGAGCATGGAATTTTTGAAATGAGTACCTCCCATAAGGCCTCAAATATCACCTTGGCCATTTATGACTCTCTTGGTGTGTATTTTATACACCATTTATTTAAAACAGCTTAGAGAGAAGGTCACTCAGGTATTTGGATGTGGGTTAACATCTAAAATGAACCACGGTTTATTATTCTTCTTATTGTCCACTTACTAAGGATAGTATAGTAGATGGTTGAAGTCTATGGCCTCATTTAAGAAAGTGCAAAAACGGCACTTTTCCTCTGTCCATATTAGAATGAATATCTTGATATTTAAGGCTCTAACCCTTTAGGAGTGAGTGGTAATTTTGTGCATATAGTATATCTGCACTTCATCCTTCTAACTCTTGAGCATAATATTCTAACTCAGGCAGAGAAGAGCTGTGGCAAAAGGATGTTAGTGTTGGCAGCAATGTTCCCTTTAAATGGATTGGATCTATAAGACAATCTTATCAAGCTTGTTCTAGCATAAGTGGCAGCTTTATGTTTAAGAACAAGAGGAGGTAGTGAAGGATACCGTGATGCATCATAAAGCTGCAGGATTTTTACAAGCCAAGATAGATGTTGAGATAATGAGAACAGATTCACTTGTCAGAGGCTCTGATGTCAAAACTGGAGTTTTCCATTATTTTCAAAAAGAATACTTTTTAATACATTCACAACACAAAAGCATGCAACAGCAATTGATGATCCACAGAAATATATGTGATTAATATAAAAAAGAAGCATCTACCTCTGGTTGTCCAGAGTGCCTGTGGGTGATATGATAGTTACTTTAAACATTATATATTTTTGAATGTTAACTTGTGCAAGTCCATCTTGTTTGCTCTCATTAGTCTGGAACTACTTGAAGGGCCATTCTACAAAAAGCAATTCATTTCAGACTATGAGCAGGATTTTTATGAAACTTCTACACAAATGGGAACTGAAGAAATTTAGTCACCATAAGGCAAAAGATGAAGCTCCATCATTAAAATATCTTTGAGAGGAACTGAGAAGACTCAAATGGGTAAGGCTCAGAATGTAAAGAGATTAATACTAAAATGCCCCCAGAGTACAGTGTGAAACTGTTAATGTCCTATGAATTTGTTAACCTAGAAAAAGAATGGGTTGTGAATCTGAAAGTGTGGTCATGTTACAGAAGCATTAAGAGAATTTAGGAATGAGAGGATTGCCAGAGCTACTAGGGGCCATCTGATTTCTTTCTGCGATGCTCTCTGGGTGAAGCATAGAAATAGGCATGATGTCGAATACTTCTGCTTTAAAAGACCAGGACTGAATATCCTAAACAAGGACCAAAGAAAGTATCTTGGATTCTGAAAAGGAAGTGGGGACAGAGGGCATTCTAGTCAGAACTCCACTAGAAAAAGAAATGACTTAACTATTTGTTGCTTACTGATAAACACAATCACTGGACATTTAGGAAAGAAGTTATTTAGTATCAGGGATCAAAAAGAATTTGGAAGGTTCCAACGGGATTAAGAAATGAAAATAGAGGAAGATGTATGAGTAGCTTGTTTCAGTATATAAACCAGTGATGTAGGCATATGGTGAACACCATTTTTTAGTTTGATGAGAAAACTTAGTAGAATTTTATTTAAAAATGTAAAGGATGTCAAGCACTAGGTCCTATTATTTCCCTCAAGACCAGTACCCCCAGCTGCTCCAAATGGAGCAGCAAAGTGAAATTAGCCAATTCCCTTGAAAGGTTGTAGTGGTTCAGCTTCAGGGGGCCTGTTAATTTTCCTTCTCCAGGGGTTCCAAGTGAGGTCTGAGAGCAGAGCAGGGAGGCAGAGTGAAAAGAGGAATTAATAAGCTTTCTAAAGTATTGCTACCCTTACTTCTTTCAAGGGAATTAGTTAATTTCACTTTGTAACTCCATTCAGATCAGCTCAAGTTTGGGAAAATCTCCAATTAAATAGAGGGAGAGGGGAGACAAAGGCAATTGGTAGGAAAGAGAGGGAATGGACAGAATTTAAATCGGTGACCTCAATCCAAACATTGCCCCAAATACTCAAAGTACTTTACAAATAAATATTACATATATTTATGAAAGATCTGGCCAGGACATAAAAAGTTTTCATTTTTGTTAATTTTATTCTTCCTTCGAATCTTGGTAAAACTTCTGAAATATAAATATTTTCTATTTCACCTGAATCACAGGGTTCACAGCAATATCTTTATGCCTGATCCATATAACTTTCTCTCAATTTCTTCACACCTGGATGGTATGAATGTCTCTACCCATTTCTGATATGAAATAACAGTATCATGTGTTTTAAAATTGAAAACAAGAAATAAACACATAGAGGGGACTTCTCCTAAGCACTGCCTTGAATTATAAAAAGGGAAAAAATGACAATTGAATGAAAGAAACTAATAGAAACAAAAATAAAGAGATGATAAGTGGAAGAGGCTAAAAGGGAAGATATACATGAAAATAGTAAGCACATATAAATTACCTATGGACATGAAGTATCATATTTTAAAGGTATTATAAAGGGCTTAAGTCAAAACATTAATTTGATTTATAATATATAGACAATGGACAAATTGTCCCTAAGAAACACATAAAAATCACTGAAATAAATAATATAATACAGCCTTTAGCCTAGTGTAAATAAGTGTTCAATAAAGTACTAGTATTTTAAAATTATTTTCCATTATCTGTAGAACACTACTGTTTATGCTTCTCTAGAATATTTAAGACCTTTTCTTATAAAATAATATTTTACCTTTGACAAACTGGACTGACATGAACCAATAATATTAAAACATTAAGGATATACAGGCTAGTCTTTTGATAGGTAACATGATTAAATAGAAAAAGCACAGTTTTGGTGCCAGGTCACAAATAAAATTTATGTTTTTAGGCAGACTCCATATGTGGCATTGGGCACTTTCCTAGGCCATCTTAAGAAAGAAATATCAATCTTCTTTCAGAAAATGAGGATAATAAGATCTGCTGTGTAAGACTAGGGGACTAGAGGACATGGATGTAAGGCACCCAAGACGGTACATCTGCAGTGTCCAACAAACGATAGCTAGTATTATTGTTACTAAAAGTTAAATATGGGTAAGGCTAGGGCTGAAAAGCCATGTAAGAGCTCATCTTATCAGCAGACTCCCAAACTAGTTTTGCATCAATATAACCTGTATAAAACTTAACAAAAACAGAGATTTGAAGGCCCCACTTCAAATCTGTTCGATCAGAATTTCTGTGAATGCTGTCCAGAAATCTAATTCCAATTCACCATGTTATTTGTATTAATAATACTTAGATGGGCTAGGTCACTTGCCAATATCTTACAGTGTCCATGCAAAAACTAGAATCCTAGTCTTCCTTTGTCTCCATTTGAGCTTGCCTATTATATCACTGTATTTCTATAATCAACTACAGTCTTGTATTCATGGTGTCCTTAGAAGTCTAATTATTATTATTAACCATTTTGTGGTCTGATTTTGTACACCTGGTAAATCTCACTATGTTTTTTTTTTCCCCAAACTCCAGACTCCTCCTGGCAGACAATAACCAAGCATATACTTTGCCCACTTTCTATGGATTCTTCCTGTTACTTTGCCACTGTTTTGTTTACAAACACAGAGCTGAATCAAGAATTCCTATATAGTAGCTTCACTGAAAGCACATAAAAACAATATTTAACCTAAATACAAACTTGTGCTTCTAAACAAGATAGAGTAGCAGGGACCAGATTTACCTTCCTACCTGAAACAACTGAAAATCTGAACCAAATATAGAAAACAACAGTGCTTAAGACACTGGCCATCAGGCAACAAAGGACAGTGATCACTAAAATGTGGGAAACAATGCCTCCCATGCTCCAGCTCACTTCCTAAAGTGAATTTCCAGGCCATCGTGTAGGAAGAGAACAGACTGACAGAACTAAAAAAGGTTCAAATCATACAACGTATTGTTTCTGGCCACAATAAAATTAAATTCAAAATCAAAAACAGAAAGATCCCTAGAAAATCCCCAAATATTTGGAAACTGAATAACCATCTACTAAATAACCTATTGGTCAAAGAAGAAATCAAAGTAAAATTAGGAAGTATTTTGTAATAAATGAAAATGAAAATACACATATCAAAAATTGTCGAATATGGCCAAAGTAATGTATGAGAGAAAGTTATAGCATGAATACGCCTACATTAGAAAAGAAGAAAGGTCTTAGGTTTCACCTTAAAAAAAAGGAAAGAAAATTAAGTCTTTAAGTATAGAAAGGGAAATAACAAAGATCAGAGTGAAAATTAAGAAAATAGTAAACAAAGAAACAATGAAGAACATAAATTATGAAAACCAAAATGCGGTTATTACTGATCAATAAAATCAATAAACTGCTAACCATACTGATCAGAAAAAAAGAGAAAACATAGAAATTACTAATATCTGAAATGAGAGAGGTGCTATCATTACAGATTGTACAGATATTAAAAGAATTATAAAGGGATATTTTTAATAACTTTATAGTAATAAATTTGATGACAGACAAAATGGACAATTTCCTTGAAAAACAAACAACACTTACTGAAGAAGAAATAGCTTGCATAGTCTCATATACTTTAGTATATAGCCTCATATATACTAAAGAAATGAAAGCTGAAATTTAAAAAACCTTCTCACAGAGAGAAGTGCTAAGTGGGGGTGGGGAGGAGATTACAAAGGGGCATGAGAAAATTTTTGGAAATTAATGGCTATGTTTATTATTGTGATGATGGTTTCAAAGATGACTGTCTATGTCAAGATTTATCAAATTGTAAGTTTTCAATATGTGCTGTCAATTGCATTTCAATAATGCTGATTAAAACTGTGATGAAAAAATACTTATTGCATTTAAAAAGCATGTGGTAGTTGGTAGTTTGTATTTGCTCAAGAGGACTCCAAAAATTAATCAGAAACATACAATTCCAATCTTAGAAAATGATCACAAAAAGAACCTTAAACCAGAAAAGTGAGAATCCCTCAAGTTTAATGACATTGTAGATCTTCTAGAGGTGTTTTTTTCCTTTCTTGGATGAAAGGTGATTATTTGAATTTCTAATAAAAAATCTAACATTTTCAAAGATAATGTGTTTACTAATGGTGAGGAGAAAATACCTCTAATCACTATGACTGAAATCAGAGAGGAATAATATCCCCATGTCAAAGTGTGTGCAAGTCTGTCCACACCTGTTTCTATTCATCAACAGTATCTGTGCACTTCATAGGCCTCTCATGAGAATAGAATAAAATAATGCCTAAAAGGAGCTTTTTGTATAAAATGTTTAGTGTTTCTAATATTTTGAATGAACAAGACTCATAAGGTGGAATGGAAAATAATTTTATTCATTTATCAAATCTGCCTTTACATATCATTCACAGGTGATTATTCCACCCTTCACTGCCTCCCACATCCCCAGTTTATATGGAATCTAGGGAAGGTCCCATGATTTTTCTGGTCAAACTCAAAAAAGTAAGAAGTCTTTATTGTCCCAAGCTGTTCTGGAACACTGAGTATGTTCTGCCCAATGTAATACCAACCCTGGATATAATTCAGTGTTAAAGCTTCGCTCCTGATTAACACTGACCACCTACAGTGTGGGAAGAGAGAAGGAACGATTGCCTTCTTCCCTTTTATCCTCTTTGTGCTTCAGCATCTCCTCCTTCAGCTTGCTACTGTGGATTTATTATCTCTCCAGGATCTATACAGAGGAGGCAAAGTAGATAAAAAGGCAGGAGAGTTTTTACTTAGGCCCTGATATGGTTGTGTTGAGGTTTAAAGCAGATCCTTCCTCTTATGAAAATATTCATGGGTTCTTGGGAAACCCTCATCATAGAAAATCATGAAAATCGTTTTTTTAATTATTTTATCATACTTGAAGTTCTGAGAAAATCATGAAAATCTTTAACTAGCAGCCCTCAATGGAAGCACTCCCTAGAGCATTAGTCAGAACTCTTCTCTTCTTGGGTATCTAGCTGTATACTTTCAACATCTTTTTGTTGAGTTTTCCTTGCACCGCCAAGTAGTCCATTTGAAGGAGATCTGAAATGACCCTTGAGCACTCTTTCTTTCTCTCATATGTCTCACAATCTGACCAAAGAAAACTGCCTACATTTTGTATCACTTGGAGCCTAAATACATTCTGTATTACTTTCCTAGGGCTGCTGTAACAAAGTAGCACAAACTGGGTGGCTTCAAACAACGGAAAGTTATTTATTGTCTCATGGCTCTGGAGTTTGGTAATCCAAAATCAAGAGGATGTCAGGGCCATGCTCCCTCTGAACCCTGTAGGGGAGAATCTTTGCCTCCCCTAGCTTCTGGTGCTTGTCGGCATTCCTTGCCTTACAGGTGCATCATGCCAACCTCTGCTTCTGCCATCACGTGTCCATTTTCTTCCTATGTGTCTTTGTCTCTTAACTTGACTCTCAAAATTTCATCTGTCACATATGCCAACCAACACAATGGCAGCCCTGTGCTCTACTGCCACTGGACCCTCAAGCTGATATATGAGGCATTATTCCTCTCTGACTTCGGTGACTTTTTATTAGAAATTCAAATAATCACCTTTCACCCAAGAAAGGAAAAGAATACTTCTAGAAGATCTACAATGTCATTAAACTTGAGGGATTTTCACTTTCTGGCTTAAGGCTCTTTTTGTGATCATTTTCCAAGATTGGAATTGTATGTTTCCAATTGTTAATTTCTGGAGTCTTCTTGAGTGACTACAGACTAACTATTAGGCTTTTTAAATGCAATAAGTATTTTTTCATCACATTTTTAATCAGTTTTATTAAAATGCAATTAACAGCATCTCCTTTCGGAACACGGGTATTGTTAGCATCTATTAGATTAGGGCCTCAGTCAAGACTGAAGCTGAAATAGCTCCATATTTATTTACATACATAATTGTGAGAGTAGAATAACAATAGTTCTATTAAAGCAAATGCATACCAACCACATCTATAGTCAGAAATTTTATTCTTAAGGGTTAAAATAAGAAGCATATGTTGCGCAGAGAATTTCTATCTTCTCTGTTGTTTTCTTGGTGAGGGAAGCCAGATGAGCTTTATTACAAGTCATATGCTATTATTGGCTCATTAATATATAGTGTGACCATGAGTAATAAACCCAAAAGCATAATAACTGAAATCAATAAGTCATTCAGAAAACTAAAATTAGGCTGTAGTATAAATAGCTATCTCTCCAGATAATTTTTGGAGATAAATAATAAAAGTGGTTATTTGATTTCTTTCTCTTCTTTTTTGAGATGGAGTCTTGCTCTGTCGCCCAGTCTCGAGTGCAGTGGCGCGATCTCGGCTCACTGCAAGCTCCGCCTCCCAGGTTCACACCATTCTCCTGCCTCAGCCTCCCGAGTAGCTGGGACTACAGGTGCCCGCCACCATGCACGGCTAATTTTTTGTATTTTTAGTAGAGACAGGGTTTCACCATGTTAGCCAGGATGGTCTCGATCTCCTGACCTTGTGATCCACCAGCCTCAGCCTCCCAAAGTGCTGGGATTACAGGTGTGAGCCACCGCACCAGACCAATTTGATATCCTTCACCAAATTGGTTTGCAGGTGAATTCAGATGAGAATAAAATGGCCAAAAACAAGCATAAAATAGCAAACATGGAAGGCTAAAAAACTTAAAGAATAGGGGCAATAAAGAATGCAATAATTGTGTTAAGAAATGTTGAATACATTTAAAATGATAAAAGGTAAAAAGGAGAAAGTGGTTTTACTGCACATGACTCATGCAGGCAACTAACTTTCTTAGCACCTATTTCTTACAGGAAAATAATTAGCTGCACACATAAAAGCTAAGATTAAATGAGAACAATTTGCAATCATTCTTGAGATGTGGAATGTTCATGATCACATCCCTATAACATGCACTACCACCCACTGCATAGCTCATGGCCCCATTGATCATAATTTCCATCCATCACATGCCAAGAGTTATATGAACTCTTCTTAAGAGAGAGGAATAATAGTTACTCTATCCTTTTTAAATTTCATCAGATAACACCTTTTCTTTTTCCTGCGAATATACTACTATAACTTTATTTGAGCTTATATAATTGCATATGTCCAAACCATTGAGTCAAAATGCTATTTCGTACTATTAAAAATATTTTACATACATGTACAATAGCACTCCTCCTCAATCTCAACCCCTCCAGTTACATGCTAGACTTAAACTGATTCCCTAATGTGTGCTTTATTCAACCATATCAGCTCACATTATTCCCTACTTAGTACTTCTGTGCAATTCAGACCAGCATCAGTGGCTTCCTGTTACACCTATGTGGTTAGAATTACAAAGGGTTTTGGTGAAAACCCAGCTGTGACATTCTCCTTTATTTCACCCCAGTCAAATGTCTGGCTCTTAGAGACCTTCCATTCTCACATAGAATCTGCTACCAACAGGCTCTCTTTAGTTTCCATTTTATGAATAAAAATTTTCAAACTTTGATCTCAGCTCCAGCTTCATTATCCCAAACTTTCCGTGACTTAGAATGAAATTTCAAAACAAATACAGTGCTTGAGGAACAAACACTCCAAGCAATTCAGGGTTCAGGTATGTGGGACTGAATGAATAACCTTAGGATATTTGAGAAGGGAATACAGTTTTCACTCCTGTCTGGGACAGTCACCTTTTCTAAACCTTATTTTCTCCCTTTTCTTGTCTGTTCTTCCCTGACAGCAAGATGCTTTGTATTCTTCAGCTCTCTGTGACTGCCACGATAATTCATTTACAAAAAAAATGTGTTATGTGTCTAATAAGTTACATCTTAGGAATATTTAAATTTCTAAATAATACCAGACAAAGGGAAGAAACTCTTTAAAAGGGGGACCAGTACAAAAATCACTGAGTTATAAAACAGGAAGTGACGCAAATTCTTCTTCCTTGGGTTTCATTGTGTGTGGTAGCTTATTCATCCAATTTTTCAACAAATATTTTTTAAGAGCCAATATATACCTTCATGGTGCTTGAATTCTTTTATCTTATTTCAATTTGTTCTGTACCAGTGTTAGCTGGACATTTGTCTAGCTTCCCTCTCACTTGTGGACTAGTTTCAAGAACAAATTGAGCTGATTGTATGGTACAGTAGTGCCTTATATATAGTACTCACTCAATAAATGAGGAATTTAATTCGTTCTCATCTAGTTCCCCATTGGAAAAAAAGTGCATTGTAATCTTAAGGGACTTTTGCAATATTCTACATCTGGTCAGTGGAAAACAAAATAATTCACTAGCATTTTAGGTGCCAGTATAAAAAACACTTTTTGCATAATGTTAACAATCAAATCATACCATATTGGCACCGTCTGATTCAAATTTGAATCTTTAGCACCAATTTATTTGAAAATTATACTTTTAATTTTTACGTTCTCATAACTATTAAGTTAACTATTCCTGGTTGGTCCTGATGCATTATAGAATTTTATGATCACTATGCAGTGTGGCCTGACAGGATCTATGGCAGGAACAGCCTCACTATGCTCAGAGTGCATTCGTAAGAAAAGCTTCAGTTTTAAGAGGAGTGATATAAACCTAGAATGACAGGGGAAAAGGGTGACCAGATGTAGGATGAAAATACAGTTAAATGAAAAATGGCTAAGGAATCAGAGGATTTTGGACCTTGAATATCAAGAATTTCAGGGGCCCCATTAATGCTATTTTCAAATCTTTGAAGGTGTTGAATTTAGTAAATGAATAAATGATTTATGTGTGTCTTCAGAGACAGGAATAAAACCAAAGCTGAAGAAAAAGAAAATCAATTGCTATCAGTTTAACTATAACTAATTTATTGAATCAGTTGGACTCAGTAGGATACAAAAAGGAAGAGCAAGAGAGTGAGTGAATAAGAGAGAGAGAGAGAAAGAAAAAAGGAAGAAAGAAAGAGAGAAAGAGGAAGGAAGGGGAAAGAAAGAGAGAAAGAGAAAGAGAGAGAGAGAAAGAGAGAAAGAGAGAAAGAGAAAGAAAGAAAGAAAGAAAGAAAGAAAGAAAGAAAGAAAGAAAGAAAGAAAGAAAGAAAAAGAGAAAAAGAAAAAGGGAAAGGGAAAGGAAAGGAATGAAGGGAGGGAGGGAGGAAAGAAAGAAGGGAGGGAGGGAGGAAGGAAGGAAGGGAGGGAAAGAGAGATAAAGAATAAGCAAGCAAGCAAGGTTTTGCCCTCTGACCTTTCATATACACCCCTAGGGTGTTTCTCTTTCCTCATCATTTATTGGCATCTAGGACAAGCCTCTCTGCCCACATTTAGTCACAAGAACAGTCTCATTTCAGTACTTTTCAAAGCCCCACCCAATAATATAAAAAGCTTTGAATCTTATCCTATTTGAAGCTTCTCCCTTCCCCTGTATCTGGCTGGAAATATGAAGTGCATGAGAGATTGGCCTCCTCTCTCTTCCCAGCTCCACTTCTTCCCCTCACTCCCTAGCTACTCTGTGATGGCTCCCAGGTCAGACCCAGGTAGTGAGAGAAGATTAGGCAGAAGCGGCTCAGTTGTATGCGGTTGGTTGAGTTACTTTCAGGGCTTTTTTGCTGACAGTGTTTCTCAACAGTGTTTCTGCAGATTCCTAGAAACTCTTCTACTGGGTATTCCTCCACTGCCGGTCAACCTGGGCAAGGCTGCTCCTCCAGCCGGCTGCTTAGGACTAATCTGGGCTTCTGCTGGGTCCCTCTGCTGTGCTCTCCTTGTCCCTTCAGGCAGTCCTTTTGGGTGGAATCCTTTTCAAGCTGACCTACAGCCAATTCCTTTTGGTGCGATTTAAATCTAGATAATAGTAAGGACATGCATTTGCCTACAGCTGGAGCAAGTGCAGCTCGTTCTATAGCTCACTCTCAAAGTCATTTTTCTTCCTTTTGACACCAGCAAAGCACAGCTCCAGCCACAGCCTCTCCCATTAGACCAAGAGTAACTCAAGTATCACATCTTCACACATCAAGAGCTTGACCAAAACGTTATTTCAGGGTTTTAGCCTGATTCTTCCTTGAAGGTTTCTCACTTAGAGTGCGGTGGAAAGTACCTTCTTCTCCCCTTATCCCAGTGACACAGAAAATGTTCCCCAAAGAAATGTCTTTCTGGAAGGCTTTCAACCCTGGCCTTTTATAGACGCCTGTGAATGAGTGATAACTAGTACAGGCAGGTCTAATTTAGGATCACCCCCTTTGCAAGTCTAGCTCCATGATTTAGAATGTTTTGTTCTCCAACTTTGGGCCTCCGGAGACAACAGAAAATAATTTTAGTGAACATCCTTTGGCTTACCTAAAAATGTTTCAATAATTCAGAGGTTCAGAAAATTTAACTATCAGCCTTATCAGCCTTGTGAACCCCTAGATAATTCAAGTCGGGGCTAAATCTCTATTTTAGACTGTGAGAGAACAGATAAGTCTCCAGCATAGATTGAGAAGGTGATAATCTCTAAGTTCCTTTTAGCTCCTAGGATTTGCTGATCCACAGGCTGCCTCTGTCAGATGAGCCGAGTGGTCTCCTAGTCTTCAAAAACAAACAAAAGGAAGAACATCAACAGAAAACCAGAATGTGATGCAACTCAATAAACATCTCCACATATCCTACTTGGCTATTATGTATTTGATCTCTTCTCATTTTGTTTGAGTTGGCAAATCATGATAGCACCAAGATTGTTATTTCAACTCTAAAATGAAATCTCTAGAGGGATAAAAGGAGAGTTCTGAGTTCAGATGTAATAAGTATTAAGATAATCAGTAGAGGCTTAGAAAAGAAAATAGTAACAACATTGGAACAATTAAGCAATGTGGAAATCTTCAACTCTATTTAAAAATAATTACAATAATGATAATTAAAATAATTTTATTATCATTTTCGTTTCCTTCGGGGTCTTTCATTTTAATTGCACTTAGGCATTTTCTTTCTCAGGCCAGAGTTAGTATCCTCCCTGCCCCCCATAACTTGCTTTGGTTTGATTTCTCTCCAGTAACTGAAAGAATTAGGTTAGCTTTTTCCTAATCTTCCTGATACTGAGGTGATCAGTAAATGCATTTTTTGCTCTCTGAGAAAACTTGGGTGCAGAACTTGTTACTTCTCTGAGTGGTCCTATGGAATACACACATACCCCATAAGTGTGAAATGTAGATTTGTCACCAGAAAGGGGTCCTGATCCAGACACCAAGAGAGAGTTCTGGGATCTTGCTCAAGAAAGAATTTGGGGTGAGTCCACAGAGTAAAGTGAAAGCAAGTTTATTAAGAGAGTAAAGGAATGAAATAATGGCTACTCCAGAAGCAGAGCAGCCATGAGGGCAGCTGGTTGCTGATTTTTATGGTTATTTCTTGATTATATGGTAAACAGGGGGTGAATTATTCATGCCTCCCTTTTTAGACCATGTAAGTAAATTCCTGACATTGTCATGGCATTTCTAAACCGTCATGTCGCAGGTCAAAGTATAACAGTGAGGATGACCAGAGGTCACTCAAGTCGCCATCTTGGTTTCAGTAGGTTTTGGCCAACGTCTTTACTGCAACCTGTTTTATCAGCAAGGTCTTCATGATCTGTATCTTGTGCTGACCTCCTATCTCATCCTGTGGCTAAGAATGCCTTATCTATCTGGGAATGCAGCCGAGGGGGTCTTAGCCTTATTTTACGTAGCCCCTATTCAAGATGGAGTTGCTCTGGTTTAAATGCCTCTAACAGATTTTCTAACATTTGCATAAAGAAAATGGAGAAGAAGGTTAACATTTTGCACCCTAAATCAAATAATTTAAAATTTCTCATATATTCTTGCCTCTGAAACCCCTCTTCAGCTAAACCTCCATGGAAGATTTTTTTTTCTTTTGACTTTTCACTTTCTTACTGCAATATCTTGACTTTGGATCCTTTTCTCCTCTCCCCAGGTTTTCCTCAGAAATTTCTCATTCTTTCCTCTACATGAGGAGTCATTTCACTACCTCAGCACCTATTGCACATTTTTTATATTCAAACACATTCCAGTCATGTTCAGCAAACAAAAAGAGCCTCAAACAGCTCCTGCCATCCTGAGAATACAATTTATCCAAGAACTTTGGCTACTAAAACACACTGACCACAGTTTATCCTCCTCATCCTTAAGGTTTATCAAGGTAGTCTTCTGAATGAGATGTTCTCCTTCTGTATTACTCAGTTTTCATGCTGCTGATAAAGACATACCCAAGACTGGGAAGGAAAAGAGGTTTAATGGGCTCACAGTTCCACATGGATGGGGAGGCCTCACAATCATGGCAGAAGGTGAAATGCACATCTCACATGGCAGCAGAAAAGAGAAGAGAGCTTGTGCAGGGAAACTCCCCTTTGTAAAACCACCAGATCTCCTGAGACTTATTTACTATCAGAAGAAGAGCACGGGAAAGCCCTGCCCCCATAATTCAATTACCTCCCACTGCATTACTCCCACAACACATGGGAATTCAAGATAAGATTTGGTGGGGACACAGCCAAACCATATCATCCTGTCCCTGGCCCCACCCAAATCTCATGTCCTCACATTTCAAAACCAATCATGCCTTCCCAACAGTTCCCCAAAGTCTTAACTCATTTCAGCATTAACTCAAAAGTCTACAGTCCAAAGTCTCATCCAAGACAAGGCAAGTCCCTTGCGCCTACAAGCCTGTAAAACCAAATGCAAGTTAGTTACTTCCTAGATACAATGGGGGTACAGGCATTGGGTAAATACAGCCATTCCAAATGGGAGAAATTGGCCAAAACAAAGCGGCTACAGGCCCCATGCAAGTCCAAAATCCAGTGGGGTAATCACATCTTAAAGCTCCAAAATGATCTCCTTTGATTCCATGTCTCACATCCAGGTCACACTAATGCAAGAGGTGGGCTCCCACGGCCTTGGGCAGCTCCACCTCTATAGCTTTGCAGGGCATAGCCCCCCTCCTGGCTTTTTTCACAGGCTGGCATTGAGTGTCTATGGCTTTTCCAGGCACACAGTGCAAGCTGTTGGTGGATCTACCATTCTGGGGTCTGGAGAATGGTGGCCCTCTTCTCACAGCTCCACTAGGCAGTGCCCCGGTAGGGATTCTGTGTGGGGACTCTGAACCCACATTTCCCTTCTGTGCTGCCCTAGCAGAGGCTCTCCATGAGGGCCTGCCCCTGCAGCAAACTTCTGCCTGGGCATCCAGGCATTTCTGTACATCTGATATCTAGGCGGAGGTTCCCAAACCTTAATTCTTCACTTCTGTGCACCCGCAGGCTCAACACCAATAGAAGCTGCCAAGGCTTGGGGTTTCCACCCTCTGAAGCAACAGCTTGAGCTATACCTTGGCCCTTTTTAGTCACAGCTAGAGCAGCTGGGATGCAGGGCACCAAGGGCTTCACACAGCAGTGCCCCACTCTACTGGTACCAATTTACTGTATTCATCAGTTTTCATGCTGCTGATACATACCTGAGACTGGGAAGAAAAAGAGGTGGTAATGGACTTTTCAGTTCCACATGGCTGGGGAGGCCTGTCAGTCATGGCGGAAGGTGAAAGGCATGTCTTACATGGCGGCAGACAAGAGAAGAGAGTTTGTGCAGGGAAATTCCCCCTTTTAAAACCATCAGCTCTTGTAAGACTTATTCACTATCACAAGAACAGCCTGGGAAAGACCTGCCCCCATGATTCAATTACCTTCCAGCAGGTCACTCCCACAACATGTGGGGACACAGCCAAACCATATCACCTTGCATTGATACATGTAATCTCAATGAAATAATGCAAATTTTCTTTATGCTTTGTTTCTCTGTTCTGCCAACTGAAGCTGAGTGGATAATTTGGGGTATTATTTTCCTCGGTAGTCACAGTAATCACTTTCAACCAGATGGCACAAATATATGAGGAAGCAGTTGTGCAAAGTGAAGAGGGTTCTTGGATCTTGCACAGCTTTCCTGTGCTCTGCATTTTGAAGATTTCTGAGTCAGCAAGCCCTGAAGACATCACCAATAGGATGCTATTTCTTCCCAGGGTCTGCCCATATTTCTCATGGCTCCAAGAACTACATTCCACAAGATTATTTTTATGTCCAACCATACATCTAGAAACTTGTTTAGATGGAAATAATGACAAAAATGACCCAGATGATTATCCTTTGAATTTATAGGGTACTTTTCTGAGGGACTCCAAATTCTTCTAAGGCTAGAAGTCTCCCCGTCACTTCTCCTCCCTAACTACCATAATCCAAAAAGTAGTGATTATACCTATACATGAAGACTTATTTCAAGAATTTAAATACTTTTTAAAGAGTTAACCATAAATACAGAGTCCTGGCATGTTCCACCCATACCTGACGCCAGGAATTATGAAATAGGAAGCTGGCAGTGAGTTACGGTGCCTACTCTGGTTGTAAAGTAGTTTACTTTCTGCCTGAGTAAAGCATTAAGACGTGCGTCAGGTATCGTTAGAGAAGTTGTTCAGCAACTGTCAGCCCCCAAATAATTACAGACCACAGTTTCTCCTAAGATGTGCTCCCCACTTTCCACCATGGCAGTAACTGCCTTACACCACCTGTTCCATCAGCATTGCATGTGAGAATGTGAGGGACAGGCCTGCTGCTTGCCTGAGGTTAATGATTACCCTGTGGATTTTCTCTACGATTTACACATTCTGATGTTTTCCTGCTGTGTATGATCACCTGGCAACTTTTACAGGGAAAGAAAGAAGTGCACTGCAGGTCAAGATTACCCATAGACTTTCTCACTGACTCTGAGTGTGTGTGGGTGTGAGTGTCGATGTGTGTGGTGTGTGTGTGTGTGTGTGTGCGTAATCAACAACATTGCTGCAGTACCTTTGAACCACATTGGAAAAGGAGGAACCAAAGGCAAGAAAACGACTTGAATCAAAATCATCTCTCCAAGTGTATTATTGATCCATAGAAGGAATGTTCTTGTAGGGTAGCAAAATGACTTTCATGAGGGCTATGTGCATACTGCTTAGGACAGATATTACTGCTCTATATATTTAAATTGATGTTTTGCAAAATAAACACACAAAAGCACATGACATGAACCTTCGTCAACATTCCTTAAATACTGCCTTTACTAAGGAAAGCACAGGTCCTCATGTGGTTAAGAGACCATAATTTTGGCCTAGGAAGCTAGTCTTTACGTTGAGAAAATGAAAGCCCTTCGAAAATTAATAGTTCTGCATGTCTTCATTCACTTTACAAGGGCACAACCATGCTGATTCCTGCACTGTAGCAATTTAAGGAGAGTAAGCATCAGCCTCACCTGAGAGATATGAATCATGATGTAATCTTCCCCAGATTGCCCCCATTCATCCAGCCTCCCACAACTTCCCAGTTCACTACAGTAATACACATCTCCTCCAGACACTTCTGAGAGTTGAGGCTGGACATCTCAGTAAATATGAACAGAGCCTCTTTCCCAATAAGTTAGCTAATTTAGGTTAGTACATTAAAATTCCCTGAAATGGTATTTGGAGTCTCTTGGAACATTTTATTCCTTAGGCAAATGTGGCCCAAAATAAAATTGCATATCCCCAAAATGCATCTGTTCCAGGGTTCAGGCCCATCCACAGAAAAATACAGCTGCCTCTCTGTGGCTTACCCTGCCTGGATCCCTAATGAGGCTCTGCTAATCTCCAATTCCTATAAGCGGCTCATTTCTTACTACATCTTGGGCTTACAGCTGTGTGGCTTTTGGGATGAGATTCTTTTTAAAAAGCTATGTTGAAAGGCAATCCATTTGATCAGAGGGAAATATCTTGACTTCATCTTTTATCAGTTCCCAGTGATACTTGGGCTGCAGGTGGAATCCTGCAGTTACCTTGTTTAACATTAAAAATAATTTCATTTTCCTGCCAGAAGCTGGTCTTACTGATCATGTTGCTGCTTAGAAGCCTGGAGAATCATGACTTTTACCTAACTTTTAGTAGTGAGAGATGGCAGATAATTCTAATTAAGAAAGAAACACAGATGGGGAGAAAGACTGCAATGCAGAACAAGAATAACAAGTCTACTGTAGTAGTGATTTCCATAATCCAAAAGAGAAAGGGAAATTGTCAAGGCAGCAGGAATTGCTTTCAAGAGCAGTCTCTACTCCAAGAATAAAGCAGAGATGCAGCTGAACTTACTCAGATGCTCTACTTCTTTCTTCAGTACGGTTGAGGATTTCAATTTAATCTAGTGCTGCAAAACCAACAGTTCAGTAGAAAACACCACCAATTCTGAAGGGAAAATCAGTTTACTATTGCATTAACTATATTTAAATTCAGAAGGTCTGAAGACATTTTCCCCAAGGCATTACTTATTTTCTTTACTTCAAATCATTAGTTAAATCTTCTTTTTGAAGATTTAAAATTGATAACTGTCAATGCCTGTAGTCCTGTGACTTGCTGTAATTGATAGTCTGCTGACTTGGGTGTCTAATACTGTTGTCAAATGATTGAATGTTTATTAATTATATCCCTGTGCCATGGCAATGGCTATTACCCAGGGCAGCATAACATGAATGCTAAATCTGAATACAGTACAGAGAAAATCTAAGATTCTCAATAAATCAGAACCTATTTGTATATATGGCTCTCATAACAGACAATAGATCTTCTATGTACAAGCAATAAAAAACAAGAAGCAAATCTACCTCTAGAATTAGAGAAGTCATAGCTTTAGGGTCAGCTAAACCTAACTCCATGTAAACACATGAAGAGTCTATATTGCCTTCTGGATAATCCATTTATTCACAACTTGAGTGGTTTATAACAGATACAACCAACTCAATAACTCACAAATGGAGAAAGTTGTGGAAATTGATCAAAGAAATACTAAACACCAAGTATCTCTCATTCAACACTGAAAATTTACAAAAATAGTCTTTAACATTCAGAATCTAAAGAATTGTTAATGAGCCTAAAGGACTTACCAGATCAGTGTCAAAGGTCCTGTAACCGAATGTAGAGAGAAATTTGGGTTCTGTTTTGGCTAGAAAGGGATAGTGAAACAATTTCAATTGGTTGACTATTGCGTATCTCACATTTTTTATATAGCTCATTTACTTCTCATGGCAGTGCAGATATTATTGTCTCCATTTTAAAGAAAAATAAATTGGGACCAAGATAATAGTAATAACACTTACAATGATTGTTTTTATTACTATTAGAGTTAACATTTGGAGGAAAAATATGTCAGTTAACCATACTAAGTCCTTTAACTGTATTATCTTACAGGAACCTTTCCAGAAAAGGTCAATATTTTCATCCTCAATTTATAGATGAAGAAATTGAGGCTTGCAGAGTTAGAATAATTCGCCCAAGATTACACAGCAAAAACAATAATGCCAAGATTAATACCACAGTCAAAAGCAGCTCTTTCAGAATTTGTCTAGCAGGATTTCTAGTTTTCACCGGAAAACCTCCCACAAAAATAAAACCAAACAACAACAACAACAACAAAAACCCAGTCACTTCTACCACCAATTGGGACAGATATGATATGCTTTACTTGCTATAAATCTGATAATTTTTCAAGTTACTGGTAATGTGAAATGTGATGGTCCTCTGTAAATTACCAGTAACAAGTGCAATAATTGAAAGTGTATGGTATTCACTAGGAAAATAAAGGCAATATTTAAAATATGAAACCTAGACCAGGCCCAGTGGCTCACACTTATAATCGCAACCCTTTGGGAGTTGATTGCTTGAGGCCAGGAGTTTGAGACCAGCCTGGGCAACATAGTGAGACCCTGTCTCTACAAAAAACACAAAAACTTAGTTGGGCATGGCGGCAGACACCTGTAGTCCTAGCCACTAGGGAGGCTGAGGTGAGGGAGGAAAGACGATTTGAGCCCAAGAGTTTGAGGTTGCAGTGACCTATGATTGTGCCACTGCACTCCAGCCTGGGCAACAGACCCTATCAAAAATACATAAATAAATAAAGCATGAAATCTAGTGTCAGGTATTTGTGGTCTAGTCAGTGATATACTCAGCAGGAGTATTACAGTTGTTAGTCCCTGCATTAGTATAGCAAATAAACAACTTCCATGAACTTCTTACCAAAAAATTTCATGGTGATACCAACATTGCTTTGAGCACCAATAAATACATTCATAGCTCATTATCCTCATCAGTTAACCTTCATCTTATAAAAGCACAATTAACTATTGACTTCATGATTAAAGGTTGTTCTCAATTTCAAGAGTGGGGACCCTTGAAGATTTTGCCAGCCAAGGTTACATTTGTTTTTTGATTATTGCTGTCTCAGCAAAATTATGAAATACCGGCCGGGCACAGTGGCTCACGCTTGTAATCCCAGCACTTTGGGAGGCCAAGGCGGGTGGATCACCTGAGGTCAAGAGTTTGAGACCAGCCTGGCCAATGTGGTGAAACCCCGTCTCTACTGAAAATACAAAAATTAGCCAGGACTGGTGGCACGCACCTGTAATCCCAGCTACTAGGGAGTCTGAGGCAGGAGAATCGCTTGAACCCAGGAGGCGGAGGTTGCAGTGAGCCGAGATCACGCCATTGCACTCCGGCCTGGGCGAAAAGAGTGAAATTCCATCTCAAAAAAATATATATATATATATATATATATATATATATAATTTATATTTATATGAAATACCTTAAGATCTACAAATTGATAAACAGAAAGTTCCAGGAAGAAGTTTGGAAATATTCTTGAATTGTACTAAAGCACCTACAGTATTTCAAAGTAATTTGCCAGACATGTTTTCTAATGTAGGTTTTATAGTTTCTGGGGTTTTTCTACTTACTGACTGCGTGAGGGGCCCAGGAACTATTAGAGTGTGCATATAACAGTGTGTGTCTCTCTACTTCCCAGGCTCCCTTGCAGCTGAGTTGGCCATATGACTGACAGCAAGCCCTGGAATGCAGCCAGAAGTGATAGAAGCCTCTTTCACACCATGCTCCTAAAATATTCCAAGAAATTTTCCAAACCTACTCTTTTTAGTCTGTGCATCTGGAAGTGAAAGTTTTAGAAAGGGTAAAGTCACTTAATGGAAAGGGCCCAGATCTAGCCCCTCGGAGCCAAGCTGTCCAACTAGAAATTCTGCATTAGTATTTGCGAGTGAGTATTAACCTTTGTCGGGCTAAGCCATAGAGAATTGTTTTAATTGCAGTCAGCCTGATTTTATAGTGACCTTGGATCCAGAATATTACTTAGATATTACTAGTATCTACTTCATAAAGTCTCTGTGAGGATGGAATAAGATAATGAACTCAAATGTAAAGCAACTCCTTCTTTACATGAGTTTGAGTCTGTAGTATAAAAATTGTAAGTTATGTGTTTTATGATATATGCCTCTAAAAATAAATACACATGCAATTATACACACACACACACACACACACAAGCATATATATATGTTTGTAAACTTACACCTCGCTCAGTCCATATATTCCTCCACTGTGAATAGAAATGTATAGAAAGCAAGCGGTCTTTAGGGTGGCTATTTGGTGGTTACCAGACATAGAAAAAGAAGGTAATAAAATATAAATTTTAGGACAGTCTTTCGCTGATTATGCCAGACTCCTACCAGCATCTTTCCACACCAGATCAATGGAACAGAAAATTCAATCATGTAGACTCATAGAATGGCAAGCCCACAGGGTGAATGAACTCAATATAGCTCTTTATATCGAAAGCCGAGAAATAGAGAATTCAGGTTTGTGTCTCAATATGATAGCCTCTGCATGTTACTATAAAGCAAATGTGAGCTTTTCCCAAGATAGAAAACTATTGTGACTGATTTCTGGGACTTTTAGAAGCCCCTCTATATGCAACTGAATTAGATAGCCAAAGAACTCTTCCTAACAGTGGTTATTTCTGCATCAGGTGGTAGAAAATGAGGATCACAATTTTAGAAAAGATCCCAACACTTTCTCACTAGAAGTTACAGAAATCATCAGAATGACTAGCATAGGTAAAAATCAGTTATACCTATAGGTTTTCAGAAGTAAAAATATGTCTTTTGGATTTGCTTTTTTTTTTTTTTTTTGGTTAAATAAATATGTATCCTGGAACTTAAAGTAAAATAAAATTAAAAATTAAAAAAAGAAAGATGGACAAAGTACACTAGGCAGTTAATTAGCACAAATAAAATACACGTTGCCAATAAACAGAAGAAATAGTTAACCAAAAAAATTTTCTAAAATTTAGCTTATCTTGAGGCAATCTGGGGAGCTTGGACATTGGGTATATACAAATACCGGGGCTATTTAGGTAATTGTATCACAGGAACCCAGCATTTTTCACTTTTCTCCAGCTCTGTTAAAAAGGAAGGAAAAATGTGTATACTCAGTACAACATTCACTTAATGCCACCAATTCACTTAATGCATTGTTTACATGTGCAATAGATACTAGTTACAGTGTTGAATATAGAAATGTGTACATGTGAGTTATATAGTTCCTATCCAAAAGTCAGGAGGCCCAAGACCCAGGAAGAGTTGATGTTCTTTGTAACATATGACATCAGATCACAAAAAATACCAGAATAGTTTTGTTATATAATTTTCTTGAGTACTAAAATTTTATAAAATTATTCTATTTTTAAAATATGTTATCTTAACATACTAATATTTTGAAAAATTACTTGGCTGTATTAGATATATTCCTATGCATATAGTTTTGTAGGAATACCATAACAAAATATCAAAAGCTGGGTGGTTTATACAGCAGAAATGTATTTTCTCACAGTCCTGGAGGCTGGAGGGCTGCGACCAGGTAGCAGCAGGGTGGCTTCTTCTGTGGCCTCTCTCCTTGGCCACCTCTTGCAGTGTTGTCACGTGGTTTTTTCCTCTGCACATGTATCCCTGGCATCTCTCTATGTATCCAGATGTCCCTTTTTTGCAAGTACACCAGTTAGATTGGATTTGGGATCCACCCTAATGGCCCCATTTTAACTTAATCATCTTTTTAAAGACTCTCCAAATACAGTCAGTCTGAGGTACTGGAAGTTAGAGCTTTAACATATGAATTTTGAGAGTACACAATTCAACCCCTAACGCTATATCATGAATTAAATAATATAGGAGAATATAATAGAATAATCATGGACTTTAGGGGAAATTATATTAGAAACAGATTCCTGGTTGATCCAGAAGTAGATGCATCCCATGGTGGTTTTTAATCCAATGGGGGTCTTTGCCACTGGCTAAGTCATTTAAGAATATGCTGAGTGTCTTCTTCAGGCCAGATATTGTGGCAGGAGCTGTACAGGTCAGCTACAGTCCCTGTCTTAAAGAAGCTCAGAACCCAGTGAACACCCAGGAAAAGACATGAACAATAAAAATTTAATGTAATAATAAATAAGCACAACCATAGAAGAATAGACAGGGCATTAGAAGAGCAAAGGTAACTATCTCATTCTTCCTGGAAATAAGGAAATTTCCACAGTATAAAGGACACTTGAGTGAAATAAGAAGTTGAGCAAGAAGAAGAAAAACGAAGAAAGAGCATTTCAGAGACAGGAAGCAACCTGGGTGAAGTTTAAAAAGTGGCAAATTCTTCTGTATGCCTAGATGAAGATGTAAGCTAGAGAATAATGATGATTTGGTCAGAAGAAGGAAGGGCCTGGTGTACTCTCTAATGCACTTGGACATATCTAGTGTAACGCTGCCAAATAGAACATTCTGCAATGAGGGAAATCTTCTGCATCTGAGGTGGGTTAGATAAGGTGGTCATAGCTCTCTTAAAGAGGAACAAACCACCCAACAGTGCACAAACCACATCTTGGGCTCATGGTTAGAACATCCTGCCACAAGCTGGTAAAAGAGAAGGGGAGAAAGTCCCCAAATTTTTACAAGCACAGAATCCCATGATCAGTGTCTTTGGGCTGACCTATGCTCATTATAATAGTTAAAAACATTGCTATGTAGAGAATTAAGATGCTAAGGAGGCATGCAATATATGTACTAGGATGGCAGCAATAGTGCATATGTGTCCAGAAGACCACAGACAACATGCATAGCAACAATGCCCATTCCCATCCCTTCATGAAAATCATGTAAGACTCTCATAAAGGGAGTTTCCCCAGCATCAGTCGGTGCTGTCTTACTTTTGAGCAGCCTACTTTGATCAGCTGTCAGAGTGCACTTTTACTTTCCAATAAACTCCTTTATTTTTTTTTATTTTTTACTTTTTTGAGACAGAGTTCTACTCTTTTTGCCCAGGCTGGAGTGCAATGGTGCGATCTCTGCTTAACACAACCTCTGCCTCCTGGGTTCAAGTGATTCTCCTGCCTCAGCCTCCTGAGTAGCTGAGATTACAGGCATGCAAACCACGCCCAGCTAATTTTCATATTTTTAGTAGAGATGGGTTATCTCCATGTTGGTCAGGCTGGTCTCGAACTCCTGGCCTCAGGTGATCCACCCGCCTCGGCCTCCCAAAGTGCTGGGATTACAGGTGTGAGTCACTGCACCTGACTTCCTTTGTCTACTTTTATTTGGACTCACTGTCAAATTCCTTTGTGTGATGAAATCAGGAACCTGAACTGGCCCACCGACAACATGTCTGTGCTGTGCAGTATGGTAGCCACTAGCCACATGCAACTATTGAGAATTTGAAATGTGTCTTGTGCCACAGAGTAACCCAATTTTTTAAAAATTTTATTTAAATTGTTTTAAATTTAAATGTAGACAGCCAACATGACTCATGACTACTGTATTTGACAGTGTAGATTTAGAAAGGGTTTTTTATCTTTTTTCTTCATCTATACTGTCCACATGCATAATACACTCCAATCAGATACATTTTTCATTACATGTGAGATGTGTAGCACGATGTTTAAGTGGAAATTTGGCTATGAATATATGGCAACAAGTATTAGAAACCAAAATGAGTTGCAAAATAGATCACCAAGTCAGGGTTCTTCAGAAAAACAGAACCAATAGGATGTGTGTGTGGATAGAGACAGAGCCAGCAAGCTGGAGTTGCAGGAGAGCTGAAGGTGGAGCGCCTGTCCAAGAGCCGGCAGGCTCATCATCCAAGAAGAACTAATGTTTCAGTTTGAGTCTAAAGGCAAGAAAAAGCTGATGTCCCAGTTTCAAAGGAAGCAAGGCAGGAGGAATTCTGTCTTACACAGGGGAGGGTTGGTGTTTTTGTTCTATTCAGACCTTCCACTGACTGGATGAACCCATCCACATTAGGGAGGGCAGTCTGCTTTCCTCCGCCTATTGTTTTTAGTGCTGATTTCATTCCAGAACACCTGCACGGAAACACCTAGAATGTTTGACCAAATATCTGGGCACCTGTAGCCCAGACAAGTTAACTCATAAAATTAACCATCACACCAAGTGAAAGTAAAAAGAGTACTTATTAGAAACTTAAACCTCTCATGCATGTGAAGAACATAAGAGTTTAGACAGCAGTTGTGGAGAGAATTAGTGGGGACCATAGAGAGAGCTACTCATGGGTTAATCTGCTGTGAGAAACACCAGCTCCAAGGGAAAGGATCTGTTCACCTCTCACCTCAACCCTAATGAGAGAGCTTCAACCGAGAGCTTGGTAGGTGTCCTTGCTATTGGAGTGACACAGTGGATTGAAGTCTGATTCCCACAGGGAAAATTCAAAAAGCAGAGTGGGGCTGGCCAGCTGTTCCAAGCAGGAGGAAGGAAGGGGAGGCAGCATATTTCAGTTGCCTGACTCCCAACTTTGGTTGACACAAAGCATGCAAGAGTGTTTGCTGTAACTAGATTTGGGCTACATGTGAACTCCTTTATTACAGGGTCACCCATAGGGGCAAACAGGCCTCAGCATGACAATGCTTAAAATACAGCATTCCTAGAGTCAGAGAAAAGTATATCACCTGCATCAAGGGAAATGTAGATGAGTGCTCTACATCTACATGTACTCTTTAGAAGTCCCAGTGTTGAGACTTCTAAAGAGAACCACAATTTCAGCAACCAAGAAGAAGAAGGCTTTTAACTTCAGCCATGTCCTGAGAGTATGAAATCAACTTTTGAATATACCAGTCAAGTAGGATATTTCCAGCCCACATATCACTTCCTCCACTACATTTAAAACAATTAGAAACCACACTTTTCAACTTGAGAGAAGAGCTTGTCCAAAATGAAAAGTCTGACCACATCCACTTCCCCAACTGCAAGCTTTCCACCAGTCGGCCTTAGTTAGGAAAAGAAGAATAGCTGTAATCTGAGTGCAGTTGGACATTTTACCTGTAATATGAAACTAGACAAATCCAAGAGATGTCTAAGAGGCATAACTGAAGGCTTTTGATGAACATATTTTATGTAGGTAGTGAGGAAGACAGGGTTTTGAATATTATGCTTGGGTTTCTCCTTGTGTAATTCTCCCCAGCTATATATATTTGATGATCCTATGACTTTGTATTACCTAAGATTAATTACAAAGGTCAGTGGTATGGTGGAGTTTTCACCAAGAGCAGAGTAAAAACTAGCTCCAAAGAACAAAGCATTAAGGGACCATGGAGAGAAAAAAAAATCACTCTGTATCTAATAGTTGTGCTTATTTGTGTACCAGATACTTACACAATGGTATTCAAATGGTTGATCAATGAGGGGGAAGGGGTATGATCCCTAAAGCAACATCTTAGAAACTTGGGCTAGGTGAGTGAAAATTTACATTTCAGTAGCTCAAAATGCCTTTTTAGAAAGATTGTGATTCTCTCAAGATGAGAATCTCTCCTATGAAGGATGGGCAGCCGTTACGTGATTATTAAAGGAAAATGACATAAACAGCCTTGTGTTTTAGAAAGCCCACCCTGATACTTATGTGGGAAATAGAGATGGGCTAACTTCAGACTTTAAACAGAAACACCTGCTGGGAGATAAATGCAATTGTTCTGGTGAAAGTTGACGAGAACCTGAGCTAAGAAGATAAGATAAGAAATGCAACAAAGGGAAGAATTTCCGGAGATATTTAAGAGGCAAAATTAACAGATCTTGATAACAAAATCAGATGTAGGTGATGGGAAAGAGAGGCTTTGAGGATGATGTTCAGGTTTCTGACTTGGGTAATTCTTTCTAGCTATATTATAGTAGAAACTCCAGAGGCATGAGCTGTGGCTTGGATCAAGGTGGTCCTTATACTTATCAAGTTAGAGCCAGTCCTGACTTTACGAGGTGGGCGCTCTGCTATATCACATCACTGTATCATATTACCTTCCTGTGATAAGCAGAATAAGGGTCCCACAAAGATGTCTATGTTCTAATCCTGGAAACTAAATATGTTAGGGTACCTAGCAAAGGGAATTAAGGTTGCATGTGAAATTAGGTTGCTAACCAGCTAACCTTAAAATAGGTGTTGCATCCTGGATTTATCCAGGTGGGCCCAATGTAATAAAAAGGCCCTCAAACTTGAAAGAGGGAGGCCGAAGAGTCAGTCTTATGGTGATACAATGTGAGACTTGAACAGCCTTTGCTGAATTTGAAAATGGAAGGGAGCCAGAAATGGAAGAACATAGGCAGGCTTCAAAGCTGGAAAAAAAAAAATCACATTTTTCCCTAGAACCTCCAGAAAAGAATATAGTCAAGCCAATACCTTGATTTTGCCCCAGTGAGACCCACTGCAGACTTCTGACCTCCAGAACCGTAAGATGATAAATCTGTGTTGTTTGAGTCCACTGAGTTTGTGGGAATTTGGTACAGCTGCCCTGAGAAACAAATGCACTTATCATTTATCCTTTCTCAGCAAATCCCTACTCTCAGATTCATCCACATTTCTAATTTGTTTACGTCTAACTAATGCTTTATTTATAGTTTTCTTGACTTGTTATTTGCAACTTATTTAAACAGTATTATAAGCTAGTCATTGTGTGCCTACTGCTGTGTAACTATCACTGGAGTAAGTTAAAATACCAGGTGTATTCCCTATGAAGAGTTAGGCCCATCAAATTATCTCAGTGCAAACATGAACAATAAGAACACCTTGTGTTGCAGTCCCTTTTTTTCTGCTTATCTGATCGCCGTACAACTAAAACATTTCCCAAGTAATAAATAATTTAGTTATAAAATTTGGGCAGCTTTCTGTCATAAGATATAATATTTATTTTGCTGCTGAATTAATTAATGTTTGGGAAATGCCGTGTAAATGTTAGCTCTTATCCTCTTCTTATTTATAGTAAGTACATAACCTGAAACTTTAGTCCATGCAACAGAAAATGCTGTGGACTGTAAGTGATAATGATGGATTATTTGTCCTTATGATTTTATCTGTAACCTGCATATAAAATTCAGAACTTGAAATGATGAAGATAATATCTCTCCATCCTAGCTTGGCCCAACACTCATGAAATGCAGATGTGAATGATTTTTGACTGGCAGACTTCAAAATGAATATGCAGCCACTACAACTTTATGTAACTTTAAAATTCTGGAAGAGGAATGCAAGACTCTGTCCAAATTGTGTGTTTGGGGCAATGAGAATATTATATGTACAGTCCAAAATATATTTCCAAATACAGGTAAACAAAGGCTATTTTGATTCTGTTTTAAGGTCGCAAATAGTCTGTCATGGAGTTTAGATTGTGAGTCTCCCTGCTAGAAGATGGGTCGCAATTGGAAGAGCGCTTTATATTCCCTGCGCCACTGCCAAATGATCCTAGAGGTTAACAGAAAACAGCAATGGGGCTTCCAAAGACAAGGACTGAATCATATACTTGGTAAGACTAGGAATGATGAGAACATTGTATTCTTCAAACAAAGTAACAGCTAGACAGACAGGCAAAAGAACGAAGAATCTGGCCTCCAAGTAATCCTTAATTATAACCCTGCAACCTAAAAGGACAAGAATATAAAGTGGGTCAAGAAGAAATACATGAATTATATAAGTAAAGAAAACTGAAACACATCTCCAGGCACAAAGCAAGCTAGCTGTAATTTACTACTATAAAATTCAAGAATTTTGTACCCTAGCTTATGCCATTAATCCATAAAGATACCAAAGCCTTCAATATAAAATGATACTAGAAGCTGTAATTTAATTAAGGCTGAGGTACTGTAGTTATTAATTACATGTGAAATAGTAAATATTTAAAATATTTGAAAATTGCTCATATTTCTTAAAATTGAGTAATATGCTATAAATCTCAAAAGGCAGGGTAATTGCAGTCTCCGTGGCAAGTCTGTTTGTACAGCAAAACCTGTATAGCATCTCTGGAGAACTAAGGTATAATCTGCAGCTGTGTAATTGAAGAAGATCTGACACATGGAACTATACAAGTTATTTTCAACTAGCAGAGCTTAGGATATTTTTCTTTCAGAATAAAAGTGCAGAATTCTGGATTATAATTCTATTTCTACCACACTAAAATAGCTCACAAGTGCTTATTCTGTGTTAGAAGCAGGCCTTGAAATGGATAGTCCAAATGTGTGGAATTTCACCACTTTTTGACAATGTAATTTTTGATTAATTTTCCAACACCATAAGCAAAATGCACCTGAACCCATATACACAGTGAATCCTGGGTGGGAATATTGATTTAAATGTGTGTTTGCAATAAGTAAACATCCTGAAACACATCATCTTCCTGTTCACATTAACTGCCTCTATCAAATATTGAAACCAAAGTATTTTGTTATTCAAAAGAATGTTGTTTTATGCCTATGTATGGAGGGTTGTTCCAATCATCTTACAGACTCTAGTGCAATATGAGATACTTGTAAACTTCCATAGCCTATGCTGTATGGAAGCTTTGTAGTTTCTTCTCCACTTCCTTAATCTGAGAGTAGTTGGTTTGTCCCTGAGTTTTCCTGGGTGAATTGACTTTCCACCAAGTGTCATCAAGAGAGTTTGATTTCTGGTTCTTGCCTTAATGAATAAGAGTTGCAATTCCAAGTAGTTAACTGTGGACCACACCCAGGTATACCTCTGAAGTAGCCTTAGCGTAAGTTCAGTTAGTAGATACAACCCAGATCCTCTCTACCTCACGACAATCTAGCTAAAGGAAAGGCCACAGGGCTACCAAGGGCTCCTAAGAAGTTTCCAGCTTTTCATTGGCCATTTGAAAAACATCATATCATTTGTGGGACTTGGAACAATGAGGACTCTGTTCTTCATGAATGGACCTTGAGATTGTTTTACAGGTAAAAGGAGGGAACTCAGCTCATTACAAAGACTTCATTCAAGGGCAGGATGTGGCTGGAAGAGCAGCCTCTCTAAGAACATGGCTTGAAAGGAAATCTGTGAGGAAGTAAGAGAAAATGACTCACAAGCCAGCCACATGCACATCAATGCACGTTAGCAGGATGGCAGATGTCACAGGGAGGTAGAGTGCCCTTGGTGCCTTTTGGATCCCAATATTTTAATTTTTACCCCTTATTGTTATATAGTAATATCCCTAACCCTGCATGTGGCACAATTGCTTTAATAAAAACAGTTATAATGAGTGGATAAAGAAAATGTGGTATATATACACCATGGAACACTACTCAGCCATTAAAAGGAACAACATAATGTCTTTTGCAGCAACTTGGATGGAGCTGGAGACCATTATTCTAAATGAAGTAACACGGGAGTGGAAAACCAAAAATCATATGTTCTCACTCATAAGTGGGAGCTAAGCTATGAGTACACAAAGACATACAGAGTGATATAATGGACTTTAGAGACACAGAAGGAGGAAGGTGGGAGGGGGGCTAGGGATAAAAACACTACACGTTAAGTACAATGTATACTACTCAGGTGATGGGAACACTAAAATCTCAGAATTCACCACTATATAATTCATCCATGTTACAAAAAACCACATGTACCCCAAAAGCTATTGAAATAAAAAATAATAAAGACACTTTTACGAAGATACTAGAATTAGTTCATACAAAACTAGCATGGGAGCTTCTTTGGTAGATGATGAACTCTGTGAGGGAGGGACATATTCACTTTTGCATGCCCAGAATCTAGCATGATATTTGGCAGACAGTGGGTGCCAGAGAAGTGTTTATTAATTTGGATTTTTTAATGTCCCTTAATTGTTTAATGTCTGTCTTCCTTAGCATAGGTATTTCCTAGTCTCTACAAACTGTGAATAATGAGGTATAAAGCACATACTTATGGTAACATCATACACAGTGTCACAAGATTGATCCTAACATAGCTTCACTTTTATGTACCTTTTATTTCACTTATTACATAGATGTGAGTGAACACCCCAAGGAAAGACAGGTGTTAGGGCTTTAGACATATTTAAGAACGTGAACATGCACATTAGCCTATAGTTTGGGAGCAACATAAACACTAGAAAACTTCATTAGTCTCCTTCAAGGGTGTGTTCATAGTAGGTACTCAATAGATGTCAAGTGACTGACTGCTAAAGCAATAATGGGGGCTTTGGGCACTTGTCAAAAATAAAAGCTGAATTAATGATGAGAATAAATTTCTGACCAACATGGGAAAAATACCTGTACTATTAAATCCTAGATAACTATAATTGTGCCCAGGATCCCATTTCTTCCATTCCACTAGCTGATTCAAAAGCAGAGCAAATGTGCAAAAGATTCTGTGATATGATTTTCAGAGCACAATTTTCTTCATCTTCCTTTCTTTCAGCCCCAGTAAAAAAAAAAAAGTCCCACAAAGATGTAGGATCTCACTTTGCCTGCGTTAATTCCCTGTCCTTTGCCCAGTTTCTCCTCTCTTGGAAGGCAGAGGCAGCTTCTGATTTTGATCACTTCATGTCCAGGTAAGCAGCGCTGGGAAGCACATGGGGGGAGGTCATTGAAGAGAAGAGCTACCATGCTTCCAGCTTCACTCAGGACACAGACTGCAAAGGCTCAATTGTCCAGAACAAAACAATCTTGATCTGAAGCTTGACAATCCCTATTTGCAGAACACTTACTGGCATTAGCTGAACATTTGCTTTTCTTTAAAACCTTTCTCCCTGGAAACGTCACATGCAGGGTAGCTCACCTCTGTCATGGGAATGGCACCTCCTGTAGTTGAGGTGAAAACTGGAAAGATGAAAAAACTGGCCTGTTCTTAACCTGAACTTCCATGAACGCTTGGGAGCATTCAATAAGGTACTCCAAAGCCTAAGTGAAGGATGAGTGGAGAGGCAAGATAAAAATGTGGTTATTCTTATGACTTAATATCTTGGAAAACTCAGATCTGTTGGTGCTTGATTTATTTGCAGATTTCTATAATGTGAGAAAACTAAGCAGAGCTCACAGGATTAACATTTCTCTATTTTTAGTACACACATACACATAAAGCACAGTTACTCAATGACCAAGGAGAAAACTTCCAAAAAACCTCTTATGCAGGAGAGCCCTGCCCAGATTTTCAGGTCTTGATGTTCAGTTCCATTAGCATAGCAGGTCAATATCCATTAAGTGTAGACAGTCCCTCAGACAGTAAGAACCACTGTGGGTTAGTGGTTCAGAGCATGGTTTTGGAGGTGCACTGCTGGGCTTGGAATCCTAGCTTGCCTATTCAATATTATGTGACTCTATGTACATTATTTAACCCCTTGGAGCTTCACTCTTATCTATGAAGTGGAGAGGAGATGATGATAATGTACCTCCCTCACAAGTATTTAATAAAAGTGATGAACTTGGAAAAGTATATGTAACGCACTGAGTGCTTTACAAGCATTAGTCATACCTAAATTGGCATTTGAACACTACATTAGAAAGAAAGTTGGAGAAAATAGTGGGTAGGCTCTGTTGTCTTAGGATGAGAAAGTATTGTTTAAATGATTTTTAAAAAGAAGAAGAAAATAAAAAATCCTTGGGAGCATAAAAAGAAATAAGGCCCAAGAGTGTTGTGATAACATATTATTCAAGAAGAAGAAAGGTCCTTGAACTACGGCAATAAGGATAAATGTGTTTCTCATGAACATTTAAAAATTTCTGTGATTGAATCAGCCAACCATTAAATTTTAAATTAAGAAAGACTTATAGAGAATATAGACAACCATCTAGGCAACAAAAATGAAGATTAAAAGAAGTATTAATATGATTTTTATGTAATCTCTTTATAATATTAATATAAATGTCTGCAAAGTAGACAAGTGTAGGTATACCAAAACTTCTGTACAAAAAATTAAACTCAGATTAAGTATTCCTAACAAATCAAGCAAGTTGCCCACAGAAAATATATTTTTGCTTTCATATGTAAACACATCTAAATACCTATTACAAAAGAAAATGCAAGAAAAATGCTTTCTTTTTACATTCACCCCAAGGTAGCAATAATGTTACTAGTTCCACTTGGGATTTATTCACATATTCATTATATGAATGATGTATAGATATATACATATGTAGAGAGAGATCAGTTTCCTGACCACTATATTAATATTTGCATAAAGTGTTATGACGTTTTAAATGCATTTGAAATCATTGAACACCATCCCCAATTTTCAAGATTTAAAATTAAGGCCCACAAAGAATAACTAATTTCTCTAAATTATATATAAACTAATTCACAGTCTGATGATAGTTTCTTTTGCTGTGTGGAAGCTCTTTAGTTTAATTAGATCCCATTTGTCAATTTTGGTTTTGTTGCAATTACTTTTGGTGTTTTAGTCATGAAGTCTTTGCCCATGGCTATGTCCTGAATGGTATTGCCTAGGTTTTCTTCTAGGGTTCTTATGGTTTTAGGTTTTACATTTAAGTCTTTAATCCATCTTGAGTTAATTTTTGTATAAGGTGTAAGGAAGGGGTCCAGTATCAGTTTTCTGCATATGGCTAGCCAGTTTTCCCAGCACCATGTATTAAATAGGGAATCCTTTCCCCATTGCTTGTTTTTGTCAGGTTTGTCAAAGATCAGATGGTTGTAGATGTGTGACATTATTTCTGAGGCCTCTGTTCTGTTCCATTGGTCTATATATCTGTTTTGGTACTAGTACCATGCTGTTTTGGTTACTGTAGGCTTGTAGTATAGTCTGAAGTCAGGTAGCATGATGCCTCCAGCTTTGTTGTTTTTGCTAAGGATTGTCTTGACTATACAGGCTCTCTTTTGGTTCCATATGAAATTTAAAGTTGTTTTTTCTAATTTTGCAAAGAAAGTCAAAAGTAACTTGATGGGAATATCATGGAATCTATAAATTACTTCGGGCAGTATGGCCATTTTCATGATATTGACTCTTCCTATCCATGAGCATGGGATGTTTTTCCATTTGTTTGTGTCCTCTCTTATTTCCTTGAGCAGTGGTTTGTAGTTCTCCTTGAAGAGGTCCTTCACACCCCTTGTAAGTTGTATTTCTAAGAATTTTATTGTCTTTGTAGCAATTGTGAAACTATCATCAGAGTGAACAGGCAACCTACAGAAGGGGAGAAATTTTTTGCAATCTATCCATCTAACAAAGATTTAATATCCAGAATCTATAAGAAACTTAAACAAATTATAAGAAAAAAAAAAAACCCCATCAAAAAGTAGGCAAAGGATATGAACAGACACTTTTCATAAGAAGACATTTATGTGGTAAGAAACATATGAAAAAAGCTTATCATCACTGGTCATTAGATAAATATAAAGCAAAACCACAGTGAGATACCATCACACGCCAGTTAGAATGGCGATTATTAAAAAGTCAGGAAACAACAGATGTTGGCAAGGCTGTGGAGAAACAGGAACACTTTTACACTGTTGGTGGGAGTGTAGATTAGTTCAACCATTGTGGAAGACAGTGTAGCGATTCCTCAAGGATCTAGAACCAGAACTACCATTTGACCAGCAATCCCATTACTGGCTATATACCCAAAGGATTATAAATCATTCTACTATAAAGACACGTGCACATGTATGTTTATTGTAGCACTATTTACAATAGCAAAGATTTGAACCAACCCAAATGCTCATCGATGATAGACTGGATAAAGAAAATGTGGCACATATACACCATGGAATACTGTGCAGCTATAAAAAAGAATGAGTTTGTGGCCTTTGCATGGACATAGATGAAGCTGGAAACCATCATTCTCAGCAAACTAGCACAGGAACAGAAAACCAAACACTGCATGTTCTCACTCATAAGTGGGAGCTGAACAATAAGAACACATGGACACAGGGAGGGGAACATCACACGTCGGGGTCTGTTGGAGGCTGGGGGCCAAGGGGAGGGAGAGCATTAGGACAAATACCTAATGCATGAGGGGCTTAAAACCTAGATGATGGGTTGATAGGTGCAGCAAACCATTATGGCACATACATATCTATGTAACAAACCCGCACATTCTGCACATGTATCCCAGAAGTTAAAGTAAAATAAATAAAAATAAATGACCAGGTGCGGTGGCTGACACCTGTAATCCCAGCACTTTGGGAGGCCGAGGCAGGTGGATCACGAGGTCAGGAGATCAAGATCATCCTGGCCAACATGGTGAAACCTTGTCTGTACTAAAAATACAAAAATTAGTTGGGCATGGTGGCGTGCACCTGTAGTCTCAGCTACTCGGGAGGCTGAAGCAGGAGAATCCTGAAGGTAGAGGTTGCAGTGAGCCAAGATCGTGCCACTGCACCCCAGCCTGGGCGACAAAGCGAGACTCCATCTCAAAAATAAATAAATAAATAAATAAATAAATAAATAAATAAATTTTAAAAATAGTAATAATTCACAGGTTTGTCTCACACAAAGAGAGTTTGTGTTCACTCATGGAAGACAAAACAACATTGCATGGCTCATGTATTTGTTTCCTGGGACTGCTTTAAGACATTACCACAAATTGAGTGGCTTAAAACAAGAGAAATTTATTCTCTTCTGGTTCGGTAGGCCAGAAGTCTAGAATCAAGGTGTGGGCAGGGCTGCACTCCTTCTGGAGGCTCTAGGGAATCATGCATTTCTTGCCTTTTCAGCTTCTGGTGACTGTAGGCAATTCCTTGGTGTGTTGTCTCATCTCTCCACTCTGTCTTCACACCACCTTCTCTCTGCAGTCTAACTCCAAACTTCCTCGTATACAGGCCACATAGGATAATCCATGGTAAATCCTCCTCTCAAGACCCCTAACTTGGCTGGGTGCAGTGGCTCAAGCCTATAATCCCAGCACTTTGGGAGACCAAGTTTGGCAGATCACTTGAGGTCAGGAGTTCAAGTCCAGGCTGGCCAACAAAATGAAACTCTCTCTCTACTAAAAAATATACAAAAATTAGCAGGGCCTGGTGGTGGGCACCTGTAATCCTAGCTACTCAGGAGGCTGAGGCAGGATAATTGTTTGAACCCTGGAGGCGGAGGCTGCAGTGAGCCAAGATCACACTACCATACTCCAGTCTGGGCAACAGAGCAAGACTCCATCTCAAAAAAACAAAACAAAACCTTTAAAATCATTACATATTTTGCCATATAGTTTGGGTATTAGGATGCTGGAGGTCCACTCCAGACCCTGTTTGCCTGGGTGTCACCAGCGGAGGCTGCAGAATAGCAAATACTGCAGAATGGCAAATGTTGCTGCCTGATCCTTCCTCTGGAAGCTTCATCTCAGAGGGACACCCAGCCATATGAGGTGAACATATGGGGCTTGGGGGGCTTTTGAAGAGCAACAGTCATCCCACTACAGCCAGGTTATGTTAATAAGTCTACAGGTACCTCCAAAATGGATATTCTATTTCTTAAAGGCTTCAGATGGTAAAAAGCTTAAGAAATCATATTTGTCTCTATGAGGCGATCATTTCCAAGATGGCCAAATAGGAACAGCTCCAGTCTACAGCTCCCAGCATGAGTGATGCAAAAGACAGGTGATTTCTGCATTTCCAACTGAGGTACTGGGTTCATCTCACTGGGGCTTGTCGGATAGTGGGTGCAGCCCGTGGAGTGTGAGCCGAAGCAGGGCTGGGCATTGCCTCACCTAGGAAGCACAAGGGGTCGGGGAATTCCCCTTCCTAGCCAAGGGAAGCCGTGACAGACAGGACCTGGAAAATCGGGACACTCCCACCCTAATACTGCACTTTTCCAATGGTCTTAGCAAACGGCACACCAGGAGATTATATCCTGTGCCTGGCTCGGAGGGTCCCATGCCCACGGAGCCTTGCTCACTGCTAGCATAGGAGTCTGAGATCGAACTGCAAGGCAGCAGCGAGGCTGGGGAGGGGCATCCACCATTGCTGAGGCTTGAGTAGGTAAACAAAGTGGCCAGGAAGCTTGAACTGGGTGGAGCCCACTGCAGCTCAATGAGACCTGTCTGCCTCTGTACCCTCCATCTCTGGAGGCAGGGCGTAGCTGAACAAAAGGCAGCAGAAACTTCTGCAGACTTAAATGTCCCTGACAACTTTGAAGAGAGTAATGGTTCTCCCACCACAGAGTTTGAGAAATGAGAACGGACAGACTGCCTCCTCAAGTGGGTCCCTACCCCCGAGTAGCCTGTCTGGGAGGCACCTCCCAGTAGGGACCAAGTGACACCTCATACGGCTGGGTGCTCCTCTGAGACGAAGCTTCCAGAGGAAGGATCAGGCAGCAACATTTGCCATTCTGCAATATTTGCTGTTCTGCAGCCTCCGCTGGTGATACCCAGACAAACAGGGTCTGGAGTGGACCTCCAGCAAACTCCAGCAGACCTGCAGCTGAGGGTCCCGACTCTTAGAAAGAAAACTAACAAACAGAAAGGACATCCACACAAAAACCCCATCTGTACATCACCATCATCAAAGACCAAAAGTAGATAAAACCACAAAGACAGGGAGAAACCAGAGAAGAAAAGCTGAAAATTCTAAAAATCAGAGCGCCTCTTCTCCTCCAAAGGAACACAGCTCCTCACCAGCAACGGAACAAAGCTGGATGGAGAATGACTTTGACAAGTTGAGAGAAGAAGGCTTCAGACAATTGGTAATAACAGACTTCTCCGAGCTAAAGGAAGATGTTTGAACCCATCGCAAAGAAGCTAAAAACCTTGAAAAAAGATTAGACGAATGGCTAACTAGAACAAACAGTGCAGAGAAGACCTTAAATGACCTGATGGAGCTGAAAACCATGGCACGAGAACTACATGATGCATGTACAAGCTTCAGTAGCTAGTTTGATCAAGTGGAAGAAATGGTATCAGTGATTGAAGATCAAATGAATGAAATGAAGTGAGAAGTTTAGAGAAAAAAGAGTAAAAAGAAACAAACAAAGCCTCCAAGAAATATGGGACTATGTGAAAAGACCAAATCTACATCTGATTGTTGTACCTGAAAGCGATGGGGAGAATGGGACCAAGTTGGAAAACACTCTGCAGGATATTATCCAGGAGAACTCCCTCAACCTAGCAAGGCAGGCCAACATTCAAATTCAGGAAATACAGAGAATGCCACAAAGATACTCCTCAAGAAGAGCAACTCCAGGACACATAATTGTCAGATTCACCAAAGTTGAAATGAAGGAAAAAATGTAAAGGGCAGCCAGAGAGAAAAGTCAGGTTACCCAAAAAAGGAAGCCCATCAGACTAACAGCTGATCTCTTGGCAGAAACTCTACAAGCCAGAAGAGAGTGGGGGCCAATATTCAACATTCTTAAAGTAAAGAATTTTCAACCCAGAATTTCATATCCAGCCAAACTAAGCTTCATAAGTGAAGGAGAAATAAAATCCTTTACAGACAAGTAAATGCTGAGAGATTTTGTCACCACCAGGCCTGCCCTAAAAGAGCTCCTGAAGGAAGCACTAAACATGGAAAGGAACAACCGGTACCAGCTGCTGCAAAAACATGCCAAATTGTAAAGACCACTGATGCTAGGAAGAAACTGCATCAACTAATGAGCAAAATAACCAGCTAATATCATAATGACAGGATCAAATTCATACATAAAAATATTAACCTTAAATGTAAATGGACTAAATGCTCCAATTAAAAGACACAGACTGGCAAACTGGATAAAGAGTCAAGACCCATCAGTGTGCTGTATTCAGGAGACCCATCTCACATGCAGAGACACACACAGGCTCAAAATAAAGGAATGGAGGAAGATCTACCAAGCAAATGGAAAACAAAAAAAGGCAGAGGTTGCAATCCTAGTCTCTGAAAAAACAGAGTTTAAACCAACAAAGATCAAAAGAGACAAAGAAGGCCATTACATAATGGTAAAGGGATCAATTCAACAAGAAGAGCTAACTATCCTAAATATATATGCACCCAATACAGGAGCACCCGGATTCATGAAGCAAGTCCTTAGAGGCCTACAAAGAGACTTAGACTCCCATACAATAATAATGGGAGACTTTAACACCCTACTGTTAACATTAGACGGATCAATGAGACAGAAAGTTAACAAGAATCACCAGGAATTAAACTCAGCTCTGATCCAAGCAGACCTAATAGACATCTTCAGAACTCTCCACCCCAAGTCAACAGAATGTACATTCTTCTCAGCATCACATTACACTTATTCCAAAATTGACCACATAGTTGGAAGTAAAGCACTCCTCAGCAAATGTGAAAGAATAGAAATTATAACAAACTGTCTCTCAGACCACAGTGCAATCAAACTAGAACTCAGGATTAAGAAACTCACTCAAAACTGCTCAACTACATGGAAACTGAACAACCTGCTCCTGAATGACTACTGGGTACATAAAGAAATGAAGGCAGAAATAAAGATGTTCTTTGAAACCAGTGAGAACAAAGACACAACATACCAGAATTTCTGGGACATATTTATAGCAGTGTGTAGAGGGAAATTCATAGCAAAAAAATGCCCACAAAAGAAAGCAGGAAAGATCTAAAATTGACACCCTAACATCACAATTAAAAGAACTAGAGAAGAAAGAGCAAACATATTTGAAAGCTAGCAGAAGGCAAGAAATAACTAAGATCAAAGCAGAACTGAAGGAGATAGAGACACAAAAAACCCTTCAAAAAAACCAATGAATCCAGGAGCTAGTTTTTGAAAATATCAACAAAATTGATAGACCACTAGCAAGACTAATAAAGAAGAAAAGAGAAGAATCAAATAGACGCAATAAAAAATGGTAAAGGGGATATCACCACCGATCCACCAGAAACTACCATCAGAGAATACTATAAACACCTCTACGCAAATAAACTAGAAAATCTAGAAAAATGGATAAATTCCTGGACACATACACCCTCCCAAGAGTAAACCAGGAAGAAGTTGAATGCCTGAATAGACTAATAACAGGCTCTGAAATTGAGGCAATAATTAATAGCCTACTAACCAAAAAAAGTCTAAGGACAGACGGATTCACAGATGAATTCTACCAGTGGTACAAAGAGAAGCTGGTAACATTCCTTCTGAAATTATTCCGACCAACAGAAAAAGGGGGAATCTGCCCTAAATCATTTTATGAGGCCAGCATCATCCTCATACTAAAGCCTGGCAGAGACACAACAAAAAAAGAGAATTTTAGACTAATATCCCTGATGAACATCAATGCAAAAATCCTCAATAAAATACTGGCAAACCGAATCCAGCAGTACCTCAAAAAGCTTATCCACCACAATCAAGTTGACTTCATCCCTGGGATGCAAGGCTGGTTCAACATACACAAATCAATAAACATAGTCCATCATATAAACAGAACCAAAGACAAAAACCATAGGATTATTTCAATAGATGCAGAAAAGTCTTTGACAAAATTCAACACCCCTTCATGCTAAAAACTCTCAGTAAACTAAGTGTTGATGGGACGTATCTCAAAATAATAAGAGCTATTTATGACAAACCCACAGCCAATATCATACTGAATGGGCAAAAACTGGAAGCATTCCCTTTGAAAACTGGCACAAGACAAGGATGCTTTCTCTCACCACTCCTATTCAACATAGTGTTAGAAGTTCTGGTCAAGGCAATCAGGCAGGAGAAAGAAATAAAGGGTATTCAATTAGGAAAAGAGGATGTCAAATTGTCCCTGTTTGCAGATGACATGATTGTATATTTAGAAAACCCCATCATCTCAGCCCAAAATCTCCTTAAGCTGATAAGCAACTTCAGCAAAGTCTCAGGATACAAAGTCAATGTACAAAAATCACAAGCATTCTTATACACCAATAACAGACAAACAGAGAGCCAAATCATGAGCGAACTCCCATTCACAATTGCTTCAAAGAGAAAAAAAATACCTAGGAATCCAACTTACAAGGGATGTGAAGGACCTCTTCAAGGAGAGCTACAAACCACTGCTCAATGAAATAAAAGAAGACACAAACAAATGGAAGAACATTCCATGCTTATGGATAGGAAGAATCAATATCGTGAAAGTGGCCATACTGTCCAAGATAATTTATAGATTCAGTGCCATCCCCATCAAGTTACCAATGACTTTCTTCACAGAATTGGAAAAAACTACTTTAAAGTTCATATGGAACCAAAAAGAGTCCACATTGCCAAGCCAATCCTACGCCAAAAGAACAAAGCTGGAGGCATCATGCTACCTGACTTCAAACTATACTACAAGGCTACAGTAACCAAAACAGCATGGTACTGGTACCAAAACAGAGATATAGACCAATGGAACAGAACAGAGGCCTCAGAAATGATACCACACATCTACAACCATCTGATCTTTGACAAACCTGAGAAAAACAAGCAATGGGGAAAGGATTCCCTATTTAATAAATGGCGCTGGGAAAACTGGCTAGCCATATATAGAAAGCTGAAACTGGATCCCTTCCTTACACCTTATACAAAAATTAATTCAAGATGGATTAAAGATTTAAATGTTAGATGTAAAACCATAAAAACCCTAGAAGAAAACCTAGGCAAATACCATTCAGGACATAGGCATGGGCAAGGACTTCATGTCTAAAACACCAAAAGCAATGGCAACAAAAGCCAAAATTGACAAATGGTATCTACTTAAACTAAAGAGCTTCTGCACAGCAGAAGAAACCACCATCAGAGTGAATAGGCAACCTACAGAATGGGAGAAAAGTTTTGCAATCTACCCATCTGACAAAGGGCTAATATCCACAATCTACAAAAAACTTAAACAAATTTACAAGAAAAAATCAAACAACCCCATCAAAAAGTGGGTGATGGATATGAACAGACGCTTCTCAAAAGAAGACATTTATGCAGCCAAAAGACACATGAAAACACGCTCATCATCACTGGCCATCAGATAAATGCAAATCAAAACCACAATGAGATACCATCTCACACCAGTTAGAATGGCAGTCATTAAAAAGTCAGGAAACAACAGGTGCTGAGAGGATGTGGAGAAATAGGAACACTTTTACACTGTTGGTGGGACTGTAAACTAGTTCAACCATTGTGGAACTCAGTGTGGCGATTCCTCAGGGATCTAGAACTAGAAATACCATTTGACCCAGCCATCCCATTACTGGGTATATACCCAAAGGATTATAAATCATGCTGCTACAAAGACACTTGCACATGTATGTTTATTGTGGCACTATTCACAATAGCAAAGACTTGGAACCAATTCAAATGTCCATCAATGATAGACTGGATTAAGAAAATGTGGCACATATACACCATGGAATACTATGCAGCAATAAGAAAAGGATGAGTTCATGTCTTTGTAGGGACATGGATGAAGCTGGAAACCATCATTCTGAGCAAACTGTCCCAAGGACAGAAAACCAAACACCACATGTTCTCACTCATAGGTGGGAACTGAACAATGAGAACACTTGGACACAGGGTGGGGAACATCACACACTGGGGCCTGTTGTGGGGTGGGGGGATGGGAGAGGGATAGCATTAGGAGATATAACTAATGTAAATGATGAGTTAATGGGTGCAGCACACCAACATGGCACATGTATACATATGTAACAAACCTGCACATTGTGCACATGTACCCTAGAACTTAAAGTATAATAAAAAAAAGAAAGAAATCATTGTCCTTTACCTTTTCCCTGCAACTCGCTCCTCTTAATTAACTGAGATGTGATTGTAGATGTGACAATCTGAAAATACTCACAGATGAACCTCCATAACCTAGAATATAAAAAATTAATAAAATGTTATATATCTCATGAATGCATAAAACATATGTAGATATGAGTCTATTTTGTGATTTACTACCATAAAGTATACACAAATCTATTATACAGAGTTAAAATTTATCAAAACTTGCACACATGCTTACAGACTGTACAGGGTTCCATTTGCAGTCAGGTGAAATGTAAACAAACATAAAGTTGCAGTATTAAAACATAACTGAATAAAATTAACTGTAGTAATGCTGTACTGCTGTAATAATTTCATAGTCACCTCCTGTTGCTATTGCAGTGAGCTCAAGTGTTGCAAGTATCTGCTTAAAATGCCATGTGATGCTAATCATCTCTGCACGAGCAGTTCATCTCATCTCTCCAGTAAATTGCTTATCACAGTAAAAGGTAATCTCTCGTGGTTCTTGAGTATTTCTTATTGTGTTTAGTGCAATACCATAAACCTTGAATTACACCATGAGACCCATTCAAAGTGCCTCTAGTGATGCTGGAGGTGCTCCCAAGAAGCAGATAGGCATGACATTACAAGAAAAAGTTGAATTGCTTGATATGTACCATGGATTGAGGTTTGCACCTTCAGTTGTCATCCCCGCCACCCCATTTCAGACAGATGATTAATCTTCTAAACAGGCAATGTAAACTTATAGTCTCGACAAATCCAGTAAAGTACTATAAATATATTTTCTCTTCCTTATGATTTTCTTAACATTTTCTCTTCTGTAGCTTACTTTCTTATAAGAATACTATAATAAAATGCAAAATATGCATTAATTGACTATGTTATCAGTAAGGCTTCTGGTCAACAACAGGGTTTTGGGGGAGTCAGAGTTATGTGGTGGATTTTCTAGTGCTTACGTTTCAGCACCCCTAACTCATGTATTGTTCAAAGACCAACTTTATATCAATTATGCACCATATTACTTTCTAAAATCTAAAAAAATCTGAATCTTCAAACATGTCTGGCTCAAAGAGTTTCAGATAAGAGATTATGGAACTATGCAATGAGCAATTTCTAGTCCAAGATTTCTCCTCTACTGTTCACCATCCCAACAGGGGGTGAGGCTTATTCTTGGTGGAATTGAATCTGAGACATCATAATCTCTGGTTCATATTTGGTTCATAGAAAAGAGCAGCTGGATTTATGCTCTCTGGGCAGAACATTGCAGATTAGAGGAATTTTCCCTGAGTTGGCCTAAAATAAAAGACATATACCGTTGACATTTGAGGGTTCCTGTGCAAAACACTGGGAATGCTGTTTATTCGCCCTATAGAGATGTCTCAGCCAAGCATAAATCAGAATGAATCAACCTTAAGTCACACTGAATAGAAGTCAAGGATCATTAGACCTTTGAGAACATGAAAGACTAAATAAAATAAATGAGATGAAGAACTCTGAGTAAAAAATTTCCCCAAAGCTGTAATTAATATTCTCAGAAAGGAACAATTACATCCGTGAAATGAGAACAGAAATTTTATTTTTAAAAATCTTCAGAAAATAAATAACATAAGAGGATTAAGAGTATATAATACTTGTATTCATTTGAAGTACTGGAAATTAAACCTGGAGGAAACAACTGTCAGAAAAACAGAACAAAAAGGTAACTACATGGAAAATAAGGAAGAAGTACCATATTAGTCTGTTCTCATACTTCTATACAGAAACTGCTGAGACTGGGTAACTTATAAAGAAAAGAGGTTTAATTGGCTCATGGTTCTGCAGGGGGTACAGGAAGCATTGCCGGATCTGCTTCTTGGGGAGGTCTCAGGAAACTTACAACCATGGCCAAAGGTGAAGCAGAAGCAGGCACGTCTTATATGGCTGAGACAAGAGCAAAAGAGGGCAGGGGAGAAGCTACACACTCTTAAACAACCAGATCTCACAATAACTTACTACCACGAGAACAGCACCAAAGGGATGGTGTTAAACCATTCAAGAAGAATGCACCCCCATGATAAAATTGCCTCCCAACAGGCCTCACCTCCAACACTGGGGACTGCAATTGAACATGGGATGTGGTGGAGACACAGACCCAAACCATATCAAGTACCTGCACCAAGGCATACATTAGTAAAGTTTCAGAACATCATGGATTGTTTTTAAACCTCAAAAACTCCCAAGGGTAACAAACATGCTGCATGGAAAAAAATCAGAAATCAAAAAGGCATACCACTAGGCACTAGAAGATAACTGGCAAGTCTTCAAAATTCTCAGGAAAAACTAATTTCGAACTAGTCTTCTATATCCATCTCATATATTAATTTGAAAAATAGTATATAGACATACAATCTTTTAAGACTATTACCTTCCAAATATCAGAGTAAGTTCCTTGGAGAACACACTTCAAGAAAACCAAAGAGTAAAGAGGAAAACGTGAAATCAAAGAAACAGGAGTGTCCATTTCTTTAAAAGGCAGTTAGAATTTCAAAGATAATACATCTTATAGTAATATATTATCCTAAGAACAATCTCAGAAAATATTTGCTCCAGATTGGTGCCTTAGACTTCACAGTGTGCTTAACCACATTGAAAGAGCTATAGAAACTAAGTAAACAAAAAACAAAGCAATTATTACCTTCAACAAAAACGAAAAGTTATATAAGAAAGAAATTGTGATAATCATAGTAAATCATACGGCTTAGACATTGGTCTAGCCATTATCTATAATAAATTTGTAAACATCAAATATTGAGTAGCAAAAATGATCACTATATCTATTCTAGTCAAATGGGGAAAAGGAATTATGGGAGTGAGTATAAGGGATTGAGTTAGTGTGAGAAAGTGAAATGCTCATTTTTCAGAGTAGAGAGTCAAAAACTAGTACATAACATTTCAAAATCAAGAACTAGTCATATATGTTTGAAACTTAAAAATAAGAAGGTAAATGTTAGAATAAATGGTTAAAAGAGTTGAAAGGTGCTATCTTTGTTACGGAGATACTGGGGTTGTTCTGCTTGAACAGGAGACTGGTATTTTTCATTATAAATCACTGATTTTTTATAAGGTCTTAATTTGATATAAACAAAAATCAAATTTTTAATAAAAAGAGCCTAGTGATTATTTTAGCAAACAAATAAGATTACTATAATTATAATTTCTCACTTGTACAAGTTTAATATTTTCCTTCATCTCCCTTTCCATCTGAACTGCTTTTTTTGCCAGATTAATCTTTCCACAGAAAAGCTCAAATCATGTTGTTTTGCTTAAAAACTTTAAGTGGCTAAACTCATTAACTTAGCATTGGAGATCTTCACAACTTATTTTCCATCTATTTTTCCTTCCATTAATCAACAGATATTTATTTGTGGAGCAATTGCTGCATGTTCTGTTGGAAGCAAAGAGGATATAATGATGAACAAGGCAGATATAATTCAGGTGTTCAAGACACTTAAATTCAACATACTTCTGCTAACATCCTCTTTTCCTAGGCCTTTGTTCTAAACTTTTGACTTGTCAGTCTTCTACTTCGTCTTCAAGTATGCGTGTACAAGCTCTGGTTGTACCTCAAGGCAGAATACAAATGCTACTTCCTTAACAAAGTCCCCAGGTGGAAGTTCATTTTTCTATTCCAAATGTCCTTTGAACTTTAGCCTCACGGCTTTTATGCGTTTTCTCACTATTACAGCAACTCACAAATGTGTTATCATCCCAACTAGAACTTGGGTTCCTTGAGAAGGGGGGTCCCTGAAAGACACATTTTTATATACGCTACGGTTCCCCTGCACATGGTAGATACTTAATAAAGTATTACCTGGATCATCCATTTGGCATTTGGATAGTTTTACCTACAACATCAGAATACCATTTTAATAGTGGCTTATATACTAAGACATTTACTTTTTATTCTTTGTTAAATGTTTCATTATAGAATAGTTTTAGATTTACAGAAAAATTGCAAAGATAGTACAGAAAGCTCCCATGTACCTCATGCACAGCTTTCCCTATTATTAACACTGCACCTTTGGCACAATTAATTAATTAATATTTATACATTATTATTAATTAGTATCCATAATTTGTATGGATTTCCTTAATTTTTACTTAATGTTCTTTTTTCTTTTCCTGGATGCCATCCAAGATACCACATTTCATTTAGTTGTCAAGTCTTCTTAGACTTCTCTTGGCTGTGACAGTTTCTCAGACTTTTCTTGTTTTTGATGACAGTATTACTTTTCTTTTGCTGTAGTAAAATATTACCACAAACTTAGTGGCTTAAAATAATCCAAATTTATTATCTCCCAGATCTGTAGGCTATAAGCCTAATATAGGTCTAACTGGGCTGAAATCAATGTGTCAGGAAGGCTTTATCCTTTCTGGAGGCTCTAGGGAAGAGTCTATTTCCTTGTCTTTTCCAGCACCTAGGGGCTATTCACATTCCTACCATAATGACCCTTGATAGTTTGGAGTAGTATTGTTCAAGTATTTTATTGAATGTCTCTCAATGGGGATGTGCCTGGTATTAATATTTTTCTCATGATTAGACTTGGGTATGGTTGGGTTGGAGGGGGGAGCATCACAGAGGTAATGTAACACTCTCATCACCAAACAAGTGTACATGATTTATCAGCATGACTTACCACTGTTGCTGTGAGCCCTGACCACCTGGCTAAGGCAACATTAGCCAGAGGTAGTAGACAGAATACTAGCCCCCGCCCCCGGCAAATGTCTCTATGCCCTAATCCCTGGAATCTGTGAATATGTCAGGTTACATGACAAAAGGAAATTAAGATTACTAATGGACTTAAGCATGGCAATCAATGGACCTTCTGATAGGAAGGTTATCCCAAATTACCTGGGTAGGCCCAATGCAATCAAAAGGAAGAAGAGAGAGTCAGAGGAAAAGAAGAAAGCAGATGAAGGAAGTAGGTCCAAGTGATGTGATGTGAGAAGAACTGGACCTGTTGTTTTATGGCTTTAAAGATAAAGAAAGGGGACCATGAGCCAAGGAATGTGGGCAGCCTCTAGAAGCTGGAGAAGGCAAGGAAACTGATTCTTTCCTGAAGCCCCCCAAAAAGAATGCAGCCCTGTCCACATCCCTGCTAAGACCTTGATGTTAGTCCAGTGTTAGACTTCTAACCCCAAAACTGTAAGGTAATAAAGTTTTATTGTTTTACATCACTAACTTTGTGATCACTTGTTACAGCACCAAAAGAAAACTAATACATTGGGCTTTTCCACTGAGAAGTTACTCTCTTCAACCTCTTTCCATACTCTACTCTTTGGAGAGAGGCTACTTGTGCACCGTCCATACTTAAGAAGTAGGAGTTATCCTCCGCTCCCTTGGGGCTGGAGCAGCTACATAAACTCTTTGAAATTCTTCTGCAGAAGAAATTTGTTTGTCTTCCCCCATTTGTTTATTTATTTAGTCATTTAGATCAGTATGGGCTCATGGATATTTATGAATATTTAGGATTATAACCCAATATTGCCTCATTTGTTTTATTGCTCCAATTTTTTTTTTTTAGTTTTAGCTATTGACAGCTTTTTCAGTTGGCTTCTGTGTCTCTTTGACATACCTCTACAGTTGCAGGGTTTTTTGAGCATTTCCTTATTTTCTGGCACTACAATGTGGTCCATACTTGTAAAGTCTGATGGTGGAATATGCAGGTTAGTTCAGTAGCTCCACGGTATCATCAGAACATGCCTCTTTCTTTTTGCTCTGCTATCCACAAAGTGCCAATAATGTATCCTTTTATGATCACGTGTTGTCTCCAGAACTTCAAGCATTACAATATCATTCCAAAGTCTTCCCAAGCAGGAAGAGGGCAGGAGCAAAAGAGCTTCCTTCTTTTGTGCCTCTCTCTTATAAGGATGCTAAATCCTGAAAAGCTTCCATTAGATCTCCATTTACGTTCCCTTGGCCAAAACTGGGTCACATGACCATTCCTGGCCCAGTTACTAGCAAAAAGATCTCCATGACTGGTTTTGACTGATCATGTCCACTGGGGCTGGATACAATATCTAACCCCTGCCACCAAAAATAAACAAATTGGAATTTGCTTGCAAAAAAGAGGGAAGGAATGTAGTTTGTTCTTCAGTGGGCAAAAACTCTGCATTTGACTAACAGATAATCTGTTTCATCTTGCTTTATTTTTAATATGAAATGAATTTGAAAGACATAGCAGAAACACTGCACTGACTCATTAATCATCACATTTAAAAATACATTTCTTATGGTCTTGACAAGTATTGACAGCTGAAAAGACAAAAGCATACTTTTCACATTGAAACAAAAAAAATTTTTTTTTTAAGTTAGAAGCCTTAAAGGGAAAGTTACTTATTTCAGGGCTTTGCAATACATATCCCAATTAAGATTCTCAAAAATCAGATTTACAAGGTGACTTAACTGTTTTTGTTTTGTTTTTGATGTGTCAACTTATCTAGGCTACACTGTCCAGTTATTCAATCAATAACTCCTAACCAGTTGACTTTGAGTATGGTAGATTATCCAGGTAATCTAAATGGTCATGACTGAATGAGCTAGAAAAACTTAAAAGCAAGGCTGATGTTGCACTGAGAGAGAAGAAATTCTGCCTATGGAGAGTAGCTCCCACTCATGCCCATATGTTGGAGCTTACCCACGAGCTTCCTTTCCTTATTGCCTGCCCAGTGGATTTCAGACTCACTTAACCAGCTCCCACAGTCCAGTAAGCCTATTCCTTGTAATAAATCTCTCTTTCTCCCTCCCTTTTCCTCCACCTCATCTAGCTTTCTAGCTATCTACTACCTATCTATCATCCATCTATCTGTCTATGTATTCATTCTACTAGTTCTGCTTCTTGGGCTGAACACTGACTGAAACACTTAGAGACAAACTACTTCAGACAAGATCATCTTCTGGTTCTGTATTCTAGTAACATTCCTTCTTCACCCCAATAAAAATGCTTTTTCTCTGAAAATTGCAGTAACTCACATAGACAAAGAATTAGCAGTTTTATTGTGATCCATTCAGTGTTTAGTGTACTCTACCTAAGACACATTCTCCAGAAGAAAATTTCTTCCAAGCTTGGCTAAATTAGAAGGGAGGATTTGAGGAAGGGTTGTTATGAGGAAAAACTAGGGCAGAGTGCAGAAGGTGAGGACACATTCACAAGATGAAAAAGAATACATGTTGACTTTTTGACAAAATAAATATGTCAAAAACATCTGCTGATCTTTGGTGTTTTGAGTACTCCACAGGCTTGTTGACACAATGCTAGAAGTAAACAGGAATCCAAAGCTGACTGATTCCAACTCTGGCCTTTCAACAGGGGCCAAACAGCAGTGCTTGCTTTTATTTATTTGAAAACAACTCCTCTGGCTTCCTTAGTTGTGATGATACTCCAACCCTTCTTCTTTCCGGGACAGTTATTCAGATTTATTGCTTATCTTAAGAGTAATTCATGAACCACAGAAATTATTCTTTCCTATGAATCCATCTCAGGCAGTATCTTCAGATGAAAATCTCATGTTCTTTGTATCTTACTGTCACCAGAGTAGCACAGGGTTTGAAGACAGAATACCTAGGTTTGAGGCCTGTCAAATCTTGTATCAGAACACTCTCTATAGCCCTTTCCTCTTTATTTTTCACCATAATACTCACTACATTCTTACAGTCAATATATCTATTCGTTCCATTGGTTGTCTATCTCCCCTACTAGAATACAAACTCCAAGAAGGCTAGGATTTTCCTCCATGAAATCACTGCCATATCCCAGTATGCAGTGCAGTTCCTAAACATAGTACATGCTAACTATTGAATGAACAAAGCTCACTCTGTTACTCTATCTGTCATGTGGACATAATAATAGAATCTGATTTACTACATTATTATGAGGGGAAAATATTAATACCTGTGACACTCTGGGATATCTCAGTTAGCCTGAACTCAAACTTTCTATAAGGATTTCAACATCTGCTTCTTTCCAAACAGAGGATATGGAAGATAGAAAAATATGGAGCAGAAATAAAGCATTAATTAATTTTAGCCTTGCTCAGAATTTACTATTCTGCTATCTATAATTTTTTAATTCTTTATCTACAACATTGTTGTGGGCTGTAATTCATTGAGAATTTTGTCTGTTCGCTTTAAACTGTCCTCACACTAATTAGGGATTTAGGAAGAGCCTCTGCTGCTTATCATTTAGTCAAGTCAGTCAGCCAGTCAACAAGTAGGATAATTGCTGCCTGGCTTGATGCTGTAAGTGCTGAAGTATTAAAGATCAATAACATATTTGTTCCAGTAACTAATAATAATATCAGGCAAATTTTACTCAGACATAACCCAAATACCTTAGGTTGCACTTGGCAGTTTATATCTCTTATTCTTTCTTTAGTGGAAATGAAAAAGAAAAAAAAAGATATTCCCCCCTGCAATAAAATACTGAACAGAGCTTGCAAATAAACTCATTTGAATATTCAGATTTTAACCCTGAGACCAAAAAAACACAGAAATTTGCAAGGCTTCATTCTCTAATTCCCCATAATTGAGAATGAATGATCCAATGTTAAATAAAATATATTCATGCATTAAGTTCATAGGAACATAAACAAGAATGTTAACAGTGGTTCTCTCTGGGTCATGGGCGATGTTTGTTGTTGTTGATATCTTTATTTTTTTCTGCAGTGAACATGCATTATTCATATGCTAATAATAAAAAGAAAAAAGTATTTTTTCTTTAAAATTGCATTTTAGATATTGGGGTAATAGAAATTTTGCAATTGTCTGCAAAGTCTTGTTACCATTAACTAAGTAGAATAAGGGGGAAAGGTAAAAAACCAAACAGGAGTTTAAAACTTGAAAATAGATAACCACAGGTCATATAAGAAATGTGCAGTCAAAAGTTCAATAAACAAACTGTTTTGGCAGCACAGTTAACTCAAACCATTTATAAGCAACTTCTCTTGGCCCTTCTGATATTTTCCCATAAACACTAGGATATCACTGTGTTTAGGGACTGCCAGGCTATTGGCAGGGGACAAAACACAAAGCACATTTTTTACTAATACTATTTTATTTTAAAATGCAATTGATCTTAAGGTACCTCCACAATTGCAAATTGGGGGCTTTTCAAGTAATTTATAGGGAAAAACTCTGAAGTTTATCTTTGAAATGAAATGAAATAATACCTGCACTTCCTACTTTGGGGAAATTTTATGTTAAATCACGCCAACAGGCAGAGATGACAAAACATCCAGAAATATTTAAGATTTCATTTCTCTTCCTGATAACGACAAGGTTCATTTTGTGCTCTCAGAGGGGAAATCAAATCTGATTTACAGTCAACTACCTCAGAGCCATGATCCACATTTCATATTCTTTAAGCAGCCTCAGCATAGCAGCGATATTACTGTCCTTTCACAATGGGGCTGATCAACTGCCAAAGGCCTGAAAAATCATCAAATGCTTTCATTTAAAACTACCTGTTTCTTTATCATGATAAAGCATGATGCGCAGCATGTGGCAAAGTATCATAATTTTATTGGCAAAAGGAAGCTTGATTTACACAATCTTTCTTTGAAAGGGAAAACAGTAGCAGTGAAAGGGACAGACTACATCTAGATGTATTCTTCCATTCATCTCACTTTCCCTCCTTTCTTTGTTTCACCTAACCAGCAAAATATCTCACTCCCTTCCTTGGCCCTGTCTGAGAAAAGCTCAAGAAAGATAACCAGAAAAGCATCTGAAAAGTAACATTGATCAGCCTTATTCTCATAATCCTCAAATTACAATTCTGATCTTGAACCCCAAGCAGGCCAGCAGTAAGCTAAAAGGAAATGTTAGTGAACAGGCAATGAATTTAAACGTCCAGCAGAAAAGGAATTAAAATGCCTAATCACCCTACCAAGCTCATAAGATGTAGCAAAGCAAATGCTACCTGCCTGAGATTGAATTACCGTTTGGAGCAAAGATTGTTTGCATCTCTTTAAAGATATGTGGGGGTCATATTTTATTGTTTCTAGTTTTCTATTGGAGCTAGATCCAACTTAGTCAAAATTGTGGTGCCTGATAAAACTCCCAGGGGCACATCCACATTCCCAAGTCTGCCCCAAGTCATCATTATGGCCCATTTGGCTTTTCCTTTTTCCTCTTCACAACTGCCATAAATTTCAATGATAAGATTTGGAAGTGGAATAAGGAAGGTAAGAGATAATTTTCTGTGTTCTTGAAGAGATACCAAGATAAAGAATATACTTTATCCATCAATGTTTTCCTCTTGGATAACTGAGGGCAGAAAGTTAAAAAAAAAAAAAGTTTGGAAAGCCAGGTTGGTGATTCAAGGAAACTTTATAAAAGCAAAACAAAACAGCATGGTGAATACTAACTTTAACACAAAGCATAACTAATTGCCCATTTTTCCTTTTCCAGAACCTGAAATCATTTGAAAGAGTTGTATCAAACTTCCTTTGCCTTTCTGCTCAAAATCATTACCTCTTTTTAGAATCACACATTCCCTACCAAGACCTGGACTCTTGCCATTCACAGAAGACCAACATAGCTTTCTATTTAGTAATTTAGTCTTGTTATTGGACCACTTTTTAATTTAAAACATTTAAAGTTCAACTATGTCCCTTTATCTCAGAATTACTAGGAAATGCAGAACTAAAATTATTCATATGGCCAACCCCTTCTATGCAGAGAAAAAAATTTAAAAGTAAAAATAATGTTGCATGAAGGAAAAATGCTTTCCCAGATAAACAAAAGTTGAGAGATTTCATCAACACCAGACCTGTCCTACAAACAATGCTAAAGGAAATATTTCAATCTGAAAGAAAACAATGTTAATGAGCAATAAAAACATCATCTGAGGGTACAAAACTCCCTGGTATAGTAAGTACACAACAAAACCCAGAATACTATAGTACTGTAATTGTGGTATATAAATTTCTTATATCTTAAGTAGACAGACTAAAAGATGAACCAATCAGAAAAAATTACTACAACTTTCAAGACATTCGTAGACAGTACAATAAGATATAAATACAAACAACAAAACATTAAAAAGTGGGAGGATGAAGTTAAAATGTAGAGTCTTCATTAGTTTTCTTTGCTTGTTTGTTTGTTTGTGCAATCAGTGTTGAATTGCCATCAGTTTAAATTAATGGGAGTATAAGATATTATCTGCAGTCCTCATGGTAACCTTAAATCAGAAAACATGCACAGATACACAAAACCTAAGAAGCAAGAAATTAAAACATGTCACCAGTGAAAATTACCTTCATGAAAAGGAAGACAAGAAGGAAGGGAAAAAAAAAAGATAAGACCACAAAACAACCAGAAAATAAATAACAAAATGGCAGGAGTAAGTCCTTACTTATCAATAATAACATCGAATGTAAATGGACTAAGTTCTCCAATCAAAAGATATGGAGTGGCTGAATGGATTAACAAAAAAACACCCAGTATCAGTCACCTATAACAAATACTTCACTCCATAAAGACACACATAGACTAATAAAGGGATAAAAAAAAATTGTCCATGCAAATGGAAACCAAATAAGAGCAGGAGTAGCTATACTTAGACAAAATAGACTTCAAGACAAAAACTGTAAAAAGAGATAAAGAGGGTCACTACATAATGATAAAGGGGTCAGTTCAGCCAGGGGATATAACACTTGTAAATACATATGCAGCCAACACTGGAGATATATATATAAAGTTTGCTTTATATATTTGCTAATATATAAAGCAAATATTATTAGAGCTAAAAAGAGAGAGAGACCCCAATAAAATAATAGCTAGAGACCTCAACACTCCACTTATAGCCTTGGACAGATCATCCAGACAAAAAATCAACAAGAAACGTCAGACTTAATCTGCACCACAGACCAAATGGGCCTAACAGATATCATGCAATGGCTACAGAATAGACATTCTTCTCCTCAGTATGTGGATCATTCTCAAGGATAGACCATATGTTAGGTCACAAAACAACTCCTGAAACTTTCAAAAAATAGAAATTATATGAAGTATTTTCTCTGACCACAGTGGAATAAAACTAGAAATCAATAACAAGAGGAATTTTGGAAACTATACAAACACATGGAAATTAAACAATATGCTCCTTAATGACCAGTGGGTCAATGAAGAAAAAAGAAGGAAATTGAAAAATTTTTTGAAACAAATGATAATGGAAACACAACATACCAAAATCTATTGGATACACCAAAAGCAGTACTCAGAGGGAAGTTTACACCCGTAAGCACTGTATTACTCTGTTTTCACACTGCTGATAAAGACATAACTGAGACTGCGTAATTTATAAAGGAAAAGAGGTTTAATAATATAAAGGAAAAGAGGTTAAGAGCCACATCAGTTCCATGTGGCTGGGGAGGCCTCACAATCATGGTGGAAGACACATTTTACATGATAGCAGGAGAGAGAGAATGAGAGTCAAGTGAAAAGGGAAATGACGTATAAAACCATCAGATTTCATGAGACTTATTCACTACCACAAGAACAATATGAGGGAAACTGCATCCATGATTCAACTGTCTTCCACTGGGTCCCTCCCACAACACATGGGAATCATTGGAGCTACAATTTAAGATGAGATTTGGCTGGGAACACAGCCAAATCCTATCACCCTATCCCTGGCGCCTCCCAAATCTCATGCCCTCACATTTCATAACCAATCATGCCTTCCCAAAAGCCTTCCAAAGGCTAAACTCATTTCAGCATTAACTCAAAAGTCCACAGTCCAAAGTCTCATATAAGACAAGGCAAGTCCCTTCCACCTCTGAGCCAGTAAAATCAAAAGCAAGCTAGTTACTTCCTAGATAAAATGGGGGTACAGGCATTGGATAAACACAGCCCTTCCAAATGGGAGAAATTGAGCAAAACGAAGGGGCCACAGGCCACATGCAAGTCTGAAATCTAGTGGGGCAGTCAAATCTTAAAGCTCCAAAATAACCTCCTTTGACTGAATGTCTCATATCCAGGCCATGGTGATGCAAGAGGTGGGTTCCCATGGTCTTAGGCAGATCTACCCCTGTGGCTTTGTGGGGTATGACCTGGCTCCCAGCTGCTTTCATGGGCTGGCATTGAGTGTCTGCAGCTTCTCCAGGTGCACAGAGCAAGCTGTCAGTGGATCTACCATCCTAGGGTCTGGAGTACAGTGGCCCTCTTCTCACAGCCCTGCTAGGCAGTGCCCAGTGGGGACTCTGTGGGGGGGCTCTGACCCCTCATTTCCCTTCCACACTGCTCTAGTAGAGATGCTCCATGAGGGGCCCACCCCTGCAGCAAATTTCTGCCTGGACCAGGTGTTTTCATACATCCTCTGAAATCTAGGTGGAGGTTCCCAAATCTCAATTCTTGACTCCTGTGTCCCCACAGGTTCAACACCACATGAAAGCTACCAAGGCTTGTGGCTTGCACCCTCTGAAGCCGTGGCCCAAGCTGTACCTTCGACCCTTTTAGTCATGGCTGGAGCAGCTGGGCCACAGGGCACCAAGTCCCTAGACTGCACACAGCAGAGGGACCCTTGGACCAGCCCACAAAACCATTCTTTTCTCCTAGGCCTCTCATCACTGTGTGATGAGAGAGGCTGCTGCAAAGGTCTCTGAAGTGTCCTGGAGACATTTTCTCCATTGTCTTGGTGATTAACATTTGGCTTCTCGTTACTTATGCAAATTTCTGCAGCTAGCTTGAATTTGTCCTCAGAAAATGGGTTTTTCTTTTCTATTGCAATGTCAGGCTGCAAATTTTCTGAACTTTTATGCTCTGTTTCCCTTTTAAAACTGAATGCCTTTAATAGCATCCAAGTCACCTCTTGAATGCTTTGCTGCTTTGAAAATTTCTTCCACTAGATACCCTAAATCATCTCTTTCAAGTTCAAAGTTCCACAAATCTCTAGGGCAGGGGCAAAATGCTGCCAGTCTCTTTGCTAAAATATAATAAGAATCACCTTTGCTCCAGTTCCCAAAAAGTACCTCATCTTCATCTGAGACAACCTCAGGCTGGATTTCATTATCCCTATCATTATCAGCATTTTGGTCAAAGCTATTCAACAAATCTCTAGGGAGTTCCAGATTTTCCCACATTTCCCTGTCTTCTTCTAAGTCCTCCAAACTGCTCCAAACTCTGCCTGTTACCCAGTTCCAAAGTCGCTTCCACATTTTTGGGTATCTTTTCAGCAGCATCCCACTCCTGATACCAATTTACCATATTAGTGCATTTTCATGCTGCTGATAAAGACACACCAAAGAGTGGGTAATTTATAAAGGAAAAGAGGTTTAATGGACTCACAGTTCACATGGCTGGGGAGGCCTCACAGTCATGGTGGAAGGTACATATCATATGGCAGCAGACAAGAAAGAATGAGAGCCAAGTGAAAAGGAAAATGCCTTATGAAACCATCAGATCTTGTAAGACTTATTCACTATTGTGAGAACAGTATGGGTGAAACTGCACCCATGATTCAGTTATCTCCCACTGGGTCCCTCCCACAACACGTGGGAATCACAGGAGCTACAATTCAAGATGAGATTTGGGTAAGAACACAGCCAAACCATATCAAGCACCTACTTTTAAAAAAGTAGAAAAACTTCAAATAAACTACTTGATGAATTTTAAAGAACTAGAAAAGCAAGAGCAACTCAAACCCAAAATTAGTAGAAGAAAAGAAATAAGATCAGAGCAGAAAGAGTTGAAATGAAGAAAACAATACAAAAGATCAACAAAATAAAAAGTTATTTTTTGAAAAGATAAACAAAATTGACAAACCTATAGACAGACTAAGAAAAAAAGAGAGAAGATCCAAATAAATAAAATCAGAGATGAAAAAGAAGATATTACAACTGATACCACAGAAATTCAAAGGATCACTGGAGGCTACACTGAGCAATTATATGCCAATAAATTGGAAAATCTAGAAGAAAAATGGATTAATTCCTAGACACATAGAGCCTACCCAGATTGAACCATAAAGAAATTCAAAACCTAAAGAGACCAAAAACAAGTAACAAGATCAAAGTTGTAATAAAAATTCTCATGGCAAAGAAACACCCAGGACCAGATGGCTTTACTGCTGAATTTTACCAAACATTTAAAGAAGAATTAATACCAATCCTATTCAAACTACTCCAAAAAATAGAGGAGGAGGATGTACTTCAACCTCGTCCTATGAAGCCAGTGTTACCCTGATACCAAAACCAGACAAAGACACATCAAAAAAAGGAAACTAGAGGCCAATGTCACTGATGAACATTGATGCAAAAATCCTCAACAAAAAATATTAGCAAACAGAATTCAACAACAGATTAAAAAGATTATTCATCATGACCAAGTGGGATTTATCCCAAGGATGCAAGGATGGTTCAACATACTCAAATCAATCAATGTGATTCACCATATCAACAAAATGAAGGACAAAATCATATGATCATTTTAACTGATTATGAAAACGCCTTTGATGAAAGTTAACATTCCTCCATGAGGAAAAAAACCTGGATAAACTGGATATAGAAGGAACATACCTCAACACAAGAAAAGAAATATATGACAGACCCACAGCTAGTATCATACCAAATGAGGAAAAACTAAAGTCTTTCCTCTAAGATCCGGAACGTGACAAGGATGCCCACTTTCACCAGTGTCATTCAACATAGTACTGGAATTCCAGCTAGAGCAGTCAGACAAAAAAAGAAATAAAGAGCATCCAAATTAGAATGGAAGAGGTCAAATTATCCTTGTTGGCAAATAATATGATCTTATGCTTGGAAAAACCTAAAGACTTCACTAAAAAACTATTAGAACTGATAAACAAATTCAGTAAAGCTGCAGGATACAAAATCAGTGTACAAAAATTAGTAGAATTTCTATATGCCAATAGCAAACAGCCTGAAAAAGAAATCAAGAAAGTAATCCCATTTACAATAGCTACAAATAAAATAAAACACCTAGAAATTAACAACCAAGGTGAAAGATCTCTACAATAAAAATTATAAAACACTGATGAAATAAATTGAAGAGGACACACGAAAAAAGGAAAGCTATTTCATGTTCATGGATTGGAAGAATCAATATTGTTAAAATGTCCACACTACCTGAAACAATCTATAGATTCAATGCAATCTCTATTAAAATACCAATGGCATTATTCACAAGAATAGAAAAAACAACTTTAACATTTACATGAGTACACAAAAGACCAAGAATAGTCAACACTATCTTGAACAAAAAGAACAAAAGTAGAGGAATCACATTACTTGACTTCAAATTATACTACAAAACTACAGTAACCAAAACAGCATGGTACTGGTATTAAAAAACAGACACATAGACCAGTGGAACAGAACAGGAAACCCAGAAAAATATCTATACAAATGAGTGAACTCACTTTTGACAAAGTTGCCAAGAGTATACATTGGGAAAAGACAGTCTTTTCAATAAATGGTGCTGGAAAAACTAGATATCCATATGCAGAAGAAAGAAACTAGATCCCTATCTCTCACCATATACAAAAATCAAATCAAAATGGATTAAAGACTTAAATCTAAGGCCTCAAACTATGAAAGTACCAAAAGAAAACTTTGGGGAAGCTCTCCAGGACATTGGTCTGGGCAAAGATTTCTTGAGTAATAGTCTACAAGCACAGGCAACTAAAGCAAAAATGGACAAATGCAATCACATCAAGTTTAAAAGCTGCAGCATAGCAAAGAAAACTATCAGCAAAGTGAAGAAACAACCCACAGAATGGGAGAAGATATTTGCAAACTATCCATCTGACAGGGGATTAATAACTAGAATATATAAGGAGCTCAAACAACTCTATAGGAAAAAATCTAATAATCTGATTTAAAAATAGGCAAAAGATATGAATAGACATTTCTCAAAAGAAGACATACAAATGGCAAGCAGGTATATAAAAAGGTGCTCAACATCACTGATCATCAGAGAAATGGAAATCAAAACTGCAATAATATAACATCTCACCCCATTTAAAATGGTTTTTATCCTAAAGACAGGCAATAACAAATGCTGACAAGGATGTTAAAAATAAAAAGGAACCCTTGTACACTGTTGATGGGAATGTAAATTAGTACAACCACTAGGAAAAAACAGTTTGGAGGGTCCTCAAAAAACTAAAAATGGCACTACTACCATATGATCTAGCAATCCCACTCTTAGGTATATACCCAAAAGAAAGGAAATCAGTATGTTGAAGAGATATCTGCACTCCCACGTTTACTGCAGCACCATTCACAATAGCCAAGATTTGGAAGCAACTTAAGTTGAATGGATCAACAGATAAATGAATGAAGAAAATGTGATATATATACACAATGGAGTCAGCCATAAAAAACAAATGAGATACCGTAATTTGTAACAACATAGATGGACTTGGAGGACATTATGTTAAGTGAAATAAGCCACACACCAGAAGATAAACTTTGCATGTTCCCACTTACTTGTGGAAGCTAAAATTTAAACACTTGAACTCATGGAGATAGAGAGTAGAATGATGACTACCAGAGGCTAGGAAGAGCTGTTGGGTGGGGGGACAGAAGGGATGGTTAATAGGTACAAAAATATAGCTATATAGAATGAATAAGATCTCATGTTTGACAGCACAACAGCATGACTAGTCAACAATATATTATTGTACATTTTAAAATAACTAAAAGATATAATTGGATTGTTTATAACACAAAGAAAGGATAAATGCTTGGATGATGGCTATCCCATTTACCCTAGCGTGATCATTACATACTGTATGACTGTACCAAAATAGCTCATGTACCCCATAAATACATACACCTATGATGTACACACAAAAAACTCATGCAACCCATAAATATACACACCTACTATGTACCCACAAACATTTTTAAATTTAATTAACATTTAATTTAATTACATTTAATTAAATTTTAAAAATTTAATAATGTTGCCATGTTTAGACAAAAGAAATTCATAGCAAAATTTGGGGCACAAATTCGGGCCTGTCAATTTTTCTATTTTCTGAAAGTATATATAGCAGATTTATTAAAAAGTAAAATGTAATCATTTGTAGCTTTTGTTGTTGTTGTTGTTGTTGTTTTGAGATAGAGTGTTGCTCTGTCACCCAGGCTGGAGTGCAATGGCACCATCTCAGCTCACTGCAACCTCTGCCTCTGGGGTCCAAGTGATTCTCCTGTCTTAGCCTCCTGAGTAGGTGGGATTACAGGCACCCACCACCATACCCGGCTAATTTTTGTATTGTTAGTAGAGATAGGGTTGTACCACGTTGTCCTGGCTGGTCTTGAACTCCTGACCTCAGGTGATCCACCCACCTCAGCCTCCTAAAGTGCTGGGATCATAGGCGTGAGCCACCATGCTCAGCCTCATTTGTATTTTTAAATATGCAAATTACCTCTCGACAGATTTGATAAATTGATCATTACATTCTTCGTAAACCTCTTTTTTCTTTGTTTAGGGAACCTCTAGTTTTTTGGATATCCTCCTCCTTTCAAGTTGCTAGACAATAGCTCCTTTAATATCTCTCTCCTGTAGTAAATTTTTCAATGTTGAGATTCCACTCATAGCTTACATTACCCTGAATATGTTATTAACATGTTTATTTTGCAGGAAAGCATTTGTTTACTCTTTACAGTCTTCCCTCTCCTTTCAACCTTCACCATTCTTTGGCAGGTAGCTTCTGAACTGGATCTTTGTTTTGATGAGATAGTGAGTGGTGCTCTATTGATGACAGGAAATAAGGGAAAGCTAAACTTACAGAAATAAAGATTTATTGTGGAAGATGGGGGTGAGGCAGTGGTAAGGGTGAAGTTAAGGATTGTAGAAAAAGAGGGTAAGAGATGAAGCAACTGCTGTTGAGAAAGAGCCCTTGGGAAAGAGCTAAAATATTTCAAGGGAACTAAATGAGAAGCTTTGCTATGCCATGAACATCCTTTCTTGTCTCACAAAACCTTGCTAAGAAATGCATATTATTCATCAATATTTCTGAAACTGAATTTGTGTGGGGGTACTTTTTATTTTTTGTCTGTTTGGTTTGGTGTGCAAAGGTATGTTGAAACTGCTCTCAGTTGGAGAAAATTAGGAACAAAAGTGGCTTAAGTTCTGTGTCCTGTTCAGTGCTGCTGTCTCAGCTATCCATTGACTATCCAACTGCATTCCTCCCAGCCCCACTTCAGGCAACTCAGGACCCAACCTGGCCTAAAGTAAACTCAAAAACCTGTTTCTTTTCTGCCATTTCCCATTCAGTAAATGACAGTACCATTCATCAAAGTTGTTTCTACCATAAATCCTGAAGGACAGCTCTTCTCTCTTATCCTCTACTTTACAGCAATCGCCATGTTCTACCTCCCTGATCCATCTCAAATCCATCCCCTTCTCTCCTGACCCAAGTACCTTCATCTCTCTCTCTGGAAGTATTGCTAAAACTTCCTAGCTGATCTCTTGCTTCCAGTCTTTTTCCTTTCAAAAATCAGAGTAATCTTTAAAATGGATCATATCATTAGAGTAGGGCTTCCCACTCTCTTAGAATAAAATTCAAACTCCTCATATTTACTAACAACACTTTTCGTGATATGGCCTCTATTCACTTTTTCATCCAACGTCACATATCCTCCTTTCTTTTCGCATTATGTTCAAGGCACACGATTACTCCTTCATTACTCTGAAGAGCTAAGTAACTTCTTGCCACTAAATAAGTTGTTTCCTTGGCTTGAAAGCCCCATCCCCACTCAATCCCCGATCTTCGTCTAACCCACTCCTTTCTTCTACTCACACTTCCTGTCTCTTTGAATGTCACTTCTTCAGAGAAGCTTCCCTAGCCCTGCACCTCCCCTAACTCCCCTGTCCCTCCCAGACTGATCAGGTCTGCGTTATATACTCATTTTGTTCATAGCACTTATTTCATCTATAATTAAATAACCTTTGCTATAATTACTGATGTCTGCTTCTACTGCAGACTCTCAATTATATGATTTGTGATGTTGTTGGTGGTGGTATTATGTTGGTGAACTGCTAATTATTTAATGTTGTGTAGACAGACATTCCTGGGACTACTATTTCTGTGATAGATTCTTTTAAGGCTAAGACATTAAAAATTAAAAGTTCTATAGATAAATCATATTTATATTTGTTATTTATCTTTCTCTCATTACTTTAAAGGAAAGAGAACACCTAAAATGTCCAATAAGTATAGGAAATTAAGATTGAGATGAGGATAAGACTAAAATAAAAATTCTGGGAATTTCAGCAGAATGGCATTCTTTCTTCAAAAAACATATCAATCACAGGCAAGGACAGAATCTCACACCTACAAGTGCAATTTTTGCACATCTAGAAATAAAGAACCAGTGTCCATTTCAATTCAAATATTACCCTTATTGCTTAGGGAGCTCACAAAAGTAGTTCATTAGTGCTACCTTGGGTGACAGGTTTTTGGTTCTGTCATTATATCTTCTAATAAATGAACTGATGATATGAATCAAATTCACTAAAATCTCTGTTCATCCTGAGTACATTGTAAAAAATCAAAGTCAAGATTATGTGCTCCATGGTATTTCAGATGTAATAAAGCCTAAAGCTCTAACTGCAAAATGAGAATTGTGTGCAGTGAGCTATCTTATTTAACGCAAAATGTTTTGGGGGCTAATAGCCCATGGCATACTGCTCATCAAAATGGACCAAGAGAAAAGACATGTGTTAAATCAGGGCTGACTCTATTGGCACTCACAACTATTTCCAACTCTAAGAGAATCAGTATAAGCACATCTACCCCCAGGTATCTTAGAGGTCCTTCCCTGGGAAGCCACTTTGGTCCATTTCTCCATTTAACATATACTACTTATAATTTTTTTATTTCCTCATTTGATAGGAATTTGATGTGTGTTTAATATATGTTCATGGTATATACTGCTTTAGATTCTATGGAAAATTATAACATGAAATACAGACTCACGGATTTTAAAATAGGAAAGTGATATTTGTAACTTTGACATACACATGTAAACAAAACTAGTGGACAGCTATTTTTAAAAGTGGATATTCTTTTGACATAAATCACATGGTGGGTTTTAAGTTAATTTCAAAATAAAAGAAAGGTCATTGTGGGATAAGTTAAGTCTAAGAAATATTCTTGGAGGGACACAAAAGAGTGTAAGATTTTACCTATACTTTTACCTATAGCTTGAGTGTTTGGTTATGGGGAGTCAAAGAGAACAAACTGGCTGATGTTTGGAAGCAGTAAGAGAAAATATTGATAAGGTGGGGCCACATTAAGAAAGATTTTAAATACTGGATTGAGAAAATCTGAACTCATTAAAAGGGCGAAGTGTTATATTCTTAATGAGAGTGACATAAAAGTATACAAAAGGAAATTACAGATTAGGGACTATATATGCAAATATTAGAAAGACACGTTAAGAAGTTGTGGTAATACAGGTCTAAATTGATGAGGGCCTTGATTGGACAGATGAGAACAAATAACATAATAATTAAGAGTGACACTGAGAAATAAGAACCTGTAGGCTTAGGTGATTGGTGAGTTATGAGAGATTTTAGGAGAAATAATTATGAAAAAGATGAACGTTTTGATATTTGGAATTAGGAAGAGTGGTATTTTAATCAATGAACTTGGAAAATTAGGAGGCGGGCATCTATTTGAGAACTACTTGAGTTTTGTATTTCAGATTTTGCAGTAAAGACAGATTCTAATGGAACTGCCAAAATGTTAGAGTTGAGAGATTCATAGGACCTATGGGTTCAAGTCCTCAGCAGGATTCAGGAATCCTTTCTATAATATTCCTCACAGAAGTATGAAACTTTCTGTATTTAGGAACATTACTAGGAACCCCTTCCTTAAGTTGAATTAAAATGCACTCTCCCATAACTTACACCTAAATTTTTCATTTCTACTTTCTGGCTCAAAACTGAACAAGACTATGTCCTCTTCCATGTTATAATTTCCAACTATATTATAGTCATTGTGTTCCCCCTTTAGTTCCAGCTTTTCAAGAATCCCCTAGTTCCTTCAGATGCAGCTCATTAACATAACTTAGAAACTCTTTATTAACAGAGATGAATAAGGCATCACAAATATCTCCCAACTATGAGAACCACTGATGCTATTTTAATCTTATAGTTGAATTTTATAATAGTCTCTTACAAAAAAAAGGGCAGGCAACTTTCTTTTCCCTAAAAGTAAAAACTATAAAAACTACATTCAAAATTAAAACATCTTAAGTCTAATAAAAGCCCAAGATCAGCAAGTCTGAGAAACCTGTGATTGGACTTGTAACTTGAATGAACAAATAAATTAAAAAGAATCAAATTCAATTTTCCAAAGGATTGTGATTTTCTGCCTTTTTCATGCAACAAATTTGGCAGGCCATAAAGATTTTTGAAAAATTATTGTTTTTATTATCTGATCTTTCTAACAATGCATTTGCTTCTAAACTTTGAAGTGCATTCATGAAATAGAAAAATCCATTTGAGTATCTATTATCACGGAATGGAGACTTGATTTGATGAAACCTCCATACAACTAACAAATGTTTGCCTCCCCAAATGACTTTTGCGCTGGCATTATGCTTCAGAAAATAGATTATTATTATTTATGATCATAATAATGCATATTTACATAATAAGTTTCTCAGAGGAGTTAAAACCCATTTTTGCTTATTCTACAGCACTTTTCATTTGTAAAAGTCAGAAAACAGCAGCTTTGTTGTTGCAAGTGAAAAACTGTGTTAGGAAGGCACAGGCCCCTCAAAGCCAAAGTCAGTACTCAATGTGCCAGCAGTCAGAGGATACCTGTGATTCAACACTCCTGTGATGTTTAATTTTTCCATTCAGTATCAGCAATTCTTATAAAACACAAAATTTTAAAAACTTTAAAAACATATATCAAGAACTATAAACATTTACTGTATGATCAATGTTATATGACATGGAAGAAGCGGCCCAGCCCCAAATCTAATTGAGAAGACAGGATTTCAAAATAAAAAATAATTTGAGACACTTGTGAAAGAGAATATAATGACCCGTTAAGGGAAAGCAGTAGCTAAATTACAGGGTAAGAAGTAAAAAGAGCTCTGTTTTATTCCCTACTCCAAAAACAACGTGAAGCTAGTTATTTATCCCACCTGTAAAACACAATAAAACTGCACACTACAATCTTACCCCAGAAGGATAGGTGAGGATTAAATGTGGGTGTCTGGAGTTTCACAAATGGTGTTGTGATCTACGAATTGCAGTACCTTCACTTTGCTTTTATAACACATTCATGGTCCTTACACACAAGAGTCTACCTTCACCTGTCTAGATATTACATCAACATGCCTCCAACATCCATCTTTACAATCTCCTGAGGATGAGCTGAAGACCAAGCTAAAAATACGATTCAGTGATTGCATATTAAATCATACAAGGTTGAGACATACCAGGTCTCAATTTACTTTTGTAATACAAAATTAACCTTGTAGGTGCAAAATCACAGTATTATTTTATAATTATAGATATATCCTCTATATTTATTAGACATTACAAAATACCTGACCTTCCCAATGTAGGTTAGCTAATTATTTTGTATCTAGCAAGAGCAGATTCATTAAACCTGCATCTCAGTATAAGTGTGACTAACACTTTTTCATCTTACCAGTTTCTATTACCATTGTTTGTGACACATTAATTAGATTTCATATTCAAGTATTAAAATTAAAAAATTTTGCTGAGTGCACCCCAGTGACAGTTAGTTGTTTATAGTATCAAACTGTTCGTGAAAAATGGTCATAGATAACATTATATTTATTTATCTCTATATTTTTAATTCTCTCTACTATAAGCCACTTTGGGGAAGGAAAATTAATTTTTTAAAATTCATGTTTGTACCAATAGCTCCTAGAAAGACATTCTGCACATGGTACACAAATAATACCTATTCATGGCAAGCTTGAAAAATAGTTGGACTGAAATGAAAGACATGCCTTTTTCAGTGCATTGTGTTGTTATATGAATAGAATGTTGTCCATTCATTTTGCTCAGTTTTAACCATTTTATCATATTCTCATTTATATGGGCTTTAAACAACTGCAAATCTAAAGCCCAAGATATCATCTAATGAAGCTGTATTTACTTGTCTTTTCTTTTAATGGTCATTTCCTAAAATGCATATTTTAATAATATAAAATAAAATGCCATAGTGCAGGCATATAATATATAATATTGAGAAATTCACTCTTCTCAAAATGAGTAGAATCAAGGTATGGACTCATTTGAATTACTGCAGATTGCAAAAGATATAGAAATCAACCTTTCTTATTTTTTAATTTCAAATATTCATTTTGAGAAGAAACACATCAATATTCAAATGTGCATAAAAACCTTCAAGTAAATAAAAATTGAAACTTGAAAGTTATTTTGTAAGTATAAAATCAAGAAAATTTTTGATATATATATTCCCTCAACCATCATATTTTCTTTCTTAGAATTTTCTCATCCTGCAACTTTATGTTTCTCTTTCTTTTCTGTAAAAAATGCAAGAAGAATTTACTTGCTACTTACTTCCTCTGAATGGAAACATAGGCAGCCTGTATTTTTAATATAAATGTTTGAGTTTTAAAATAACTAAGAAAAAATTTCAAATGTCTCCCCATAAAAACGATGGGTGAATGAAATGATGGGTATTTTAATTATCTTGATTTAATCAACCATATTGTATACATATATCAAAAATCACATTGTACCCCATAAATATATACAATTATTTGTCACTTAAAAATAATGGTAATAATAAGAATTCTAATATATATTATAGAAACCCTTTATATAAAATAGGAAAAATGAAGGTGCAAAGACAAAGCTTTGGAATTAGGTGAGATGTTCTCTTTTCACCATAAATGTTCTATATCCCTTTGTAACATTGGTGCACTATCAATTTGACTTTACTCAAGTGAGCTACAATGTTAATTATTTTCATATAATTTATTTAGTTTTCACTAAGAGTAGAAAACTATTAGGTACTGGTAGAAATGCAAATGAAATAAAGACCCTGGATCTTAAAAAGCTTAATGTAAATTTGTAGGGACAAAACATAGACCCCAGAAATGAGGAAGAATAATTATAAATAAGAAGTCAATAGGTGCAAATCATATTCTAATTCTACCTATCAAATACGTGAGTCCTTTAAAAAAACCAAACATACAAAAAACGATGGCTAACAATAGAGGTGGTTTCACAGGTTAGCAAGGACTAGGCCTACAAGAAGGCTGCACAAGTTTCAGCAGATGAGGTTCAGCTTTATTTCACATTCATTTGAAGCAGTCTCACTGGCTACAGTGTTCATATTGAAACAGTGGATTAATAAAGACAGAAAGATGACCAATGACTAAGTTATAAAAGTTGTCCCATGATACATCAGCTTTGATCCTGGAGCACTTCTATATTCAATCCTCTCTTGCTTTCCTCTCTGTTTTACATCAATTCACTTTATTTCTAAGTAAATACAAAGTAAAATTATATTAAATGTCAATTAGTAAATAAATATTAACCCTCACTGGAAGTTCAGAAATCAGTACAATTTATTTTGCATCTTCTTTTTATGCTGCTAGATAAAAACACTGCTTTTTTTATTATTATTCAATTACAGTGAATATCAGAGTGGGTTTGCTCACTAATACTGTGATCAGAGAATTTAAGGAAACTGTAAAAAAAAAAAAACAAGCAACAGATTTGTTTTCCTTATGGAGGTTAAATTACATGTGGAGAAATAGTGGTATTCTTCTTTTTCTACTCTCCAACTCTGAAGTTCAGTTTCAACTTAACTTATTGATTCTGTTGTATAGCATTTCAAAACTTAATGAAGCACGTCTCAGGTTTTGAACCTGGAAAACAACAATATCCAAAACCGCAACTTGAAACCACTGGTAAATACAAAAATAAGGAGATCCAAAAGAGAGCAAGCATTAGCAAAAGCGCCAAGCAGACAAAATCTAGCAATTGCTGCAATATCTAAAATACAATAGTGCATTCATTCCTTCTAAAAAAAAAAAATACTTAAAGTGAAAGCTCTCTGTATTTCAATTATAAAATTATGCTGTTTTTCCCAATGGTGTGTATTTGGGTCTGTTGAACCAATATAGCCAGGAACAAAGAAAACTTTCAGCCATATTTGCCTCTAATCAACTTTATCAAGAAGTCAGTATAGGCCAAGGTGCTGGTTCCCAACTCTTACCTGCAGCCAAGCTTCAGAATCACATGGAGAGCTGCTTAATTGGACTTCTGAATCTGCCCACCTTAGGGGTTTTAGGTTAGGCTTAGGGATAGGGGACTGGCTTTCCAGATTTTGTTTTCCAACAAGTTCCCAGGTGGCTGGTACTGCTGATACTGTAATCACCCTTTATGAACACTGGGCTAAAAGAATTCGGACAAAGGAGATTGTCAATAACTGAAATATGTCAACATTTGGGTTCCTCGGAATCTAGCTGAACTGAGAATTTCAATCAAGGAATTTAACTGCTGATGAACGTACCATGTAGAGGCAGCAAATATTTTTAAATTGTTCTAGAAATTACCTAATAAATACTTACCACATGTAATGTCTAAAATTTATCTCATGTACCTAAGAATCGATTTTATTTTGACGACAAGGAATGACAGGTCCAGGAGCAATGCTGGAAAATTGATTTGTCTTACATCCCCACCCCCTCCACTCCTGTTATCACTGTGTGCCTCTTCAACAAATGTGTGCATACGTATACACACAAAACATACCCTTTGCCAGCCCACCGGGAAAACCGCACAGCAGGGACAAGTACACAAACGGAAGCCCACATACCACATGTCTAAATAGTTGAAAGGTATAAATCCAGCTAAAAACTACTAAATAAAATATGCTGTATCCACTTACCTTGATAAATACAGTTTCATAACAACTTGACAGGGCGGGTTCTAATTCAGAATATGCAGACTCAGTGCTTTGTGCCTAAATATTGAGGCTCTAGGAAAACCAGTTCCCCGCTTTCAAGACATTCACCTTCTTTTTGGAACTTCGGCTTCAGCTTATACTATGAGGGGCCTGGGAATTTGTGTACACCCCACAAAAACAGCCATCATCCCTTGGCCACCCTTTGGGTCCACTGCATGGATGCCGTGGCATGGTCTGCCTTCGAAAAGTGGTCCCAGAGAAGATATTTGCCCGCATATGAGGAACAGGGGCAAGGCCCTTTCGCAGGGCAACTCTGGGCTCTCTGGTAGCTGAAATATGGTCTAAAGGGGAAATGTGGGCTCTAGGTGGAAAAGTTCTATTGGCCCCTGCACAAGTCTCACCCCACAGGGATGGTGTGGCCAGAGAAAGTAAAAGTAGGACCTCTAAAAAAACAGAGTCCAGGGAAGCACTATACTCCTCTTCAGTGACCTAGGATCCTCAGTTATTACATATTTTCCCATAACTTTTCGTTTTCTTTTTTTTGAGACTCTGTTGCCCAGACTGGAGCACAGTGGCCCGATCTCAGCTCACCGCAACCTCCTCCTCCCAGGCTCAAGCAATTCTCCTGCCTCAGCCTCCTGAGTAGCTGGGATTACAGGCACGCACCACTACCACCTGGCTAATTAATTAATTATTTATTTATTTTTAGTAGAGACGGGGTTTCACCATATTGGCCAGGCTGGCCTCAAACTCCTGACCTCAAATGATCCACCCACCTCAGCCTCCTAAAGTGCTGGGATTACAGGCGTGGGCCACCACACCCGGCTATCAAAACCGTAAATACTTAATTCATCCTAAATTGCAAGCAATTGTTAACAGAATAAAGTGTTTTTCCTCCTAATGACATTTTTACTTGTACTGAAGCTTCCATTACAAACACTCTGATGGCTGAGTTTGAGGTCTTGGTATAATGAGAGGGCAGGAGAAGTGAGTCAACGGGAAACAGGCATTGCTTCTTATTTTATTTTTTGAGTCCCGGGGTACATGTGCAGGATGTGCAGGTTTATTACATAAGTAAATGTGTACCACGGTGGTTTGCTGCACCTATCAACCCATCACCTAGGTATTAAGCCAAGTATGCATTAGCTCTTTTTCCTAATGCTATCCCCACCCCCATCCTCCCCCAATAGGCCCCAGTGTGTGTTGTTCCCCTCCCTGTGTCCATGTGTTCTCATTGTTCTGTTCCCACTTATAAGTGAGAACATGCGCTCTTTGGTTTTCTGTTCCTGCATTAATTTGCTGAGGATAATGGCTTCCAGCTTCATCCATGTCCTTGCAAAGGACATGAACTTGTTTTATGGCTGCATAGTATTCCATGGTGTATATGTGCCACATTTTCCTTATACAGTCTATCATTGATGGGCATTTGGGTTAATTCCATATCATCGCTATTGTGAATATTGCTCCAGTGAACATATGCATGCATGTATCTTTGTAACAGAATGATTTATATTCCTTTGGGTATATACCCAGTAATGGGATTGCTGGGCCAAATGGTATCTCCAGTTCTAAATCTTTGAGGAATCATCACACTGTCTTGCACAATGGTTGAAATAATTTACATTTCACCAACAGTGTAAATAATTTACATTCCACCAACAGTGTAAAAGTGTTTCTATTCCTCCACAACCTCGCCAGCATTTGTTGTTCATGGCTTTTTAATAATCGCTATTCTGATTGGCGTGAGATGATATCTCAGGCCTTGCTTCTTGATGCTATTAAGCATCTGCTCATGTATTCCCCTAAAGCAAACTTTGATCAGCAGAGGTGAAGGACACAGGAACCAGGAGGCCTGAGTTCTAGTTTTGTTATGCTCTAAACTCATTTTTGCTGCCTAAATCAAAAGACTTTGAGAAAGCTACAACTTCTCTACCATTCAATTTCTTATTTTAAAAAGTATAGGAAAATTAGAGTAAGCCAAAATTTTGCAAAAGGTACCCTAAAGGGTGTTAGTAGATTCTACTTGAAAATAGGTGGCAAGGGAGGTAGTAGCAGGGGGTGACCCACAGTCAAATTAATGTACTTCACATTGAGTTAAATATTGTGAAAGTTTATTTCCTACTAATGTATATTTTAATTATCCAAGAGTAGGCATAGAGTATATAGTGTTCCTTAATGTTATTAGAACAAGGAATTACTGTTTAAAAGTGCATCTAATTGAATTAGTGACACTCAGAACACATGTCAAAAGTGAAATTCAGTGTAGTCTCCTGAGAGATGAAATATGTCCTTCAAAATAATTTCACCACAATACATTTTCCAACTCAGGGGATTTTGATTTTTGTCAGTTTGGTCTCAAGGCAAACAATGAGTGTTAATGTAAAGAAATAAAATGCAATGATGATGATATAGGGATGGCAAATTCCTTTGGATAATATTCTGTTTATGTGGAATAATGAACTAATTCAAGATTTTAATATACTAAAGTATTTAAAAAATTAAGTTATTGCAGTGATTACAGTTTCCTGTTGCTGTTATAACAAATAACCACAGACTTAGTGGTGGATCAGATGATGATTAGTTATCTATTGCTGTGTAACAAAGTATCCCACACTGTAACTCAGAGTCCTGAGTCACAATGCCAACGTCAATCTAGATGTCAGCCAGGACTGAGTCATCCAAAAACTGGACTGGGACTGGAGGATTCACTTGGCCCCCACCGTTGCTGGTTTTGAAGCTGGAGGAAGGGGCCAGGGATGCCAGTGGTCTCTAAAAGCTGGAAAAGGCAAGAAAATAAAATCTCCTCTAGGTTCTGCAGGAAGAAAGTAGCCTTCAGATGCTTTGATTTTAGCTCTGAGAGACTCACGTTGAACTTCTGATCTGTGAAGCTGTAAATACACATAAATTTCTGCTCTTTGAAGCCACTAAGTCTGTGGTTATTATAGCAGCAATCAGAAATGATGCAATCACTGTCGTAATTTAATTTTTAATAATTTAGTATATTAAAATCTTGAATTAGTTCATTATTCCACATAAATAGAGAATATTATCTAATGGAATTTGCAGTCTCTGTACCATTAGCATTGCATTTCATTTCTTTATATAATATTCAAGGTTTGCCTTGAGACCAAGTTGACAAAAATCAAAATCTCCTGAGTCAGAAAATGTATTGTGGTGAAATTATTTTGAAGGACATATTTCATCTCTCAGGAGACTACACTGAATTTCATTTTTAACAATAATTCTTGTGGGAACTGTTAGAAGAGATGGGACTTAAAAATTGCAAGGACAAGTCTGAATGGGATAGAAGGTTGAAAATGCCCACTTAAAAATAAACTTGATTGTTTAAAAATTTGTGTATAAAAATACTTCAAACCATTTTATGTCAGTATTGGAGTTAAATCAGGGTAGAAAAGAAGATATTAACTTACCCAGTAAAATGTACTTAATATTTCTTATCATCTGAAACGTGTTTTCATTTGAATACCTAATAGCAATGTAGTATAAATGTTAGGGGAGACTATAAAGAAGCTTAAGACCTAATCACTAATCTTGGAACATGGACAACCTAAATGAGAATACAAGACAAAATATTAAACATTAAATTACAGTTAAAATTGACATCAGAAGAAATGACAAACTAGCAGGTGATTAATTTCCAAATAAATGACTCAGAGAATAAATTATATAGTACTTCAAATGAAGGAAATATGATCAGAGAGACAAGGAAAAACACCATAATGTAGATAGTATTTTATCTAGGTCTTTAAAATGGCAAGAAATTGTATCGTATAAAGAGGAAAGGAATGCTAAGCAGCTACTTAGAGGTAGGAAAATACTTCTATCATTATACAAATCACTGTGTATTACAGTTATTGGTTACCTGTTTAGGAATTCCTTGAAGATAAGATCATGTTTGACATTTGCACACCAGAATTTATACAAGTCCCAAGCACATAGTACAAACTCAATACATATTTTTATTGTATATATTTCAGGTAAATAACATGATGTTTTCATATACATAGTGAAATGATTACAAGTAAGCAAATTTTACATCACCTTCCATAGTTAATTCATGTCTGTGTGTGTGTGTGTGTGTGTGTGTGTCAAGAGCATGCAAAATATATTCTATTAACAAATTTTTAATGCAATATTATTAACTATAGTCCTCCTGCAGCACATTAGCACTCTAAACTTATTCAACCTACATAACAACAAGTTTTTATCCTTTGAACTACATCTCCCTATTTTCTTTCCTTCCCTACTCCTGGTAAACACTATTCTACTGTTTCTATGTATTTGATTTTTTTCTTTTTAAGATTCCACATATAAGTGAGATCATGCTATATTTGTCTTTCTGTGTCTGGCTTACTTCACTCAGCATAATGTTCTCCAGGTTCATCATTGTTGTCAGTATGTCCTTTTCTAAGGCTGAAAAATACTCTTCTCTGTGTGTATATCACAGCATTTTTATCCAATTTTTATCCATTATTCAGCAACAGACACAGGTTGTTTCCATACCTTGGCTATTGTGAATAATACTGCTGTAAACATGGCAGCACAGATATCTCTATGAGCTATTGATTTCATTTTCTTTAGGTACATATCCAACAAAGGGATTCCTTAGTCATATGTAGTTCTACTCAATAAATATTTAGTGAGTGAAACAGATGACTGTTAAAACAGTGAAGTGATAGTGAAAAAAATCATTTTCACAAAAATAAGTCTGAAAGTATTTTATGAGATGAATTGAAGTCCAAAAAGAGACTTAGATTCCTGTTAAAACGTTGTATTAACTTCCTGAGAAGAAGACAATAAAAACATGAACTGAGGGTTGACAATGAGAAAGGAGGGGATCTAAGAGGATCTAAGACACATCAGTAAGAAGGAAATGACATAATCTGATGAATCTTTAGATCTTGAGGCAAAAGGAGAGTCAAGACAAAGTTTGAAATTTGGATTCCATCTGACCATAATAGTGATGCTGCAGTTAACAAGAAGGAGGAAACGAGAGTGAGAAGACAATTTTAAGGAACTTCAAAATGTTGAGTGAAGTATGATACATACAAAACACACAAGCACCGTGGGAGTGTGCTCCAGTAATTCAGGAGGGAGGATATAAACTTGAGAGCTATTTCACACAAACCATAATTGGAGCCATGTGAGAGGATGAGATTACCAGTGAACACCAAGAAAGAAAAGAGTAAAGACACAATTTAGGAAGCTCCTGCATTTAAAGAAATAAAGGAAAAAAAAGAAGCTAGCAAAGGAAAGAGAGAAAAAGCAGAGATGCCCATGGGAGGCATGGGACAGATAGAACAGGTCAGCAGTCAGGGCCAACTGCTTCAAAGTGAGAAAAGGGGTCTTCCCGTTTAGGAAGTGGTTTTGGACGTGTGTTAGGTGGCAGCTTGTGACCATTGAGCAAGTACTTTCAGAAGAATGACTAAAAGAGCAATTAAAATCATGTATCTCAAAAATCTTTTTGATTCTGAAATTTATTAAACCAAAAATTGACATTTGGAAACTAAAATAATGGCACTCTCCAATAAGAAGTGTCCAATATGCCATCACACCTTCACTTCTGTAATTTCTCCTGGGTGTATATTCAAAGTAGCCCAAGTAATTGCAGGTTAGTGGAGCAGCTAATGGCCAACATGCCCATCTGTGCAAGCTCAGGTGTGTGTGTACTGGAGGGCTAGGGTTCCCCATACCTTGAATCCAGTCTGAGAACAGAAAGGACCCAGGAAATTCAATTTTATCCTGGTAGAAACAGAGATCTATAATCTAGGTGATCCCAATGCTCTTCTAGTAGGGGATTCAAGTAAATTGTGGGCATTTCTTTATTCTTTGGGGGGAGGCACCTAATGTCTGAAGCACAGAAGAAAGACAGCAACCAATCTCCCAACAAAGTGATTGATGCAGTAACATTTTCCCATGATATACACCATGAAGTAGAATAGAAACAGTTTCTTTTAAGACAAGGACTACCTTTACCAAATTTATAGTAAGAATATACAATGTGCCTGTAAGATGAAAACAGGTTAAATTAGCAAAACCTTGGGTTCAAAAAGGTGTATCTTACAGGCCAGTAGATGAAGTACACTGCCTCTGCTCATGCTGACATTTTTGTCAACACACTCTGCTGATTATTCAGGATAACATTTTTCATAATTGGCAAGGCCATGCCCCCTGCGTGGACTTTCTCAGTGAATGTTGAAAATTGCTAAATACAATTTATGTAATTTATTTTTGTCAATGACTTTATTAGTACTTCCACTGCTGAACTGTGTTTGTGGGTGGATGTGTGTATGAAAATACAGCCTTTACTTTTTCAAAAAAGAAGTTATATAATTTTACACTTCATAAATTTAACAACCAAAATGTTATCTGTAAAAAGTGTTTCAGAGAAGCACTGTTTTACCACTGACTGGTTTGATGGGAGTTGATTAGATAATGGTTCTTCAACTGTGTGTTGTTACTGATACTGGCCACATTCCAGTTGGCTGCCAAGGTGTCTAAATGCTCCCAAACAAAAATTACCCATAAAACCTGTGACAGGGTTCTCTGAGATCATGGATACAGATCACTGCACATATGGATGGGCTGTTTTGACTGAGTTTATAATGTCACATTCCTTGTAAACATGATACACCTGTCTCTGTTTAACAGATAGTTTTTGAAGCTAAAACATTTGTTTTCTCCCAGAACTCAGCAATGCCACATTATTTACCGATCTGAACCTGGGAGTCACTAAAACATTCCAGGATTCCAACTATTTCATCTTCAGCTACAATAACCCTTTACTTAAGTAAATTAGCAGAAAAAAATCTGCTTTGTTTTGTCATAAAAGGGGAAGTAAAGGAGAGACAATGAGAGGATCAAACAGTTAAAGGTTTCCATTACCTTTAAGAGATTAAAGACACAGATTTGTAACTATTTTCATTTTTTACATGTTGAAAGTTATGTTTGCTGTTAGTGTTACAAAGAATCAATCACAAAAACCTTCTGTGAGCATCAAGTATATACAAGGCACTGTGCAACAGACTTACAAATTTGCAAAGAAGTGTATCCCTGTTGTCACACTGCTCCAGAGGGGCTTACAACCCATTTAGGAGGATAGGATTGACACACATGAAAAGATACTAAACTGGACAGTAAATAGGTGTCAATCATGTGCAAGGTGGGAATAAAGCAGCTGATGAATGGCAGGTGCCTGTGTCCATCGGAAACAAGGATGAAAGCTGCCCTTTGATTTAAGACCTGATCTGCTGCCTGCCGAGTCAATCACTGGTTGCTACTGTGCCCCTCATCTCAAAATCACTGACTTCAAATGAGCCACTTTATTAGTGTAGGCCTCAGGATTTATTTGCAGCCAGGGCCACAAAATATATATCAGATTTTCAGCTCCTCATCCCCAGCGTTCTGCTGCTAAGCTCCAACTACAAACTTCCATTCCCAAGGTGCATACACATATTCACACTCATCTCTATATTTACTGGATATATCAATCAAAATAATAACATTAGGAAGGAAACATTGGTGCCAATACTTACATACTGCTAGGGCATTTGGAGTTGGGGGTTGAATAATTTCAGAACAAAACCCTTGGGGGTGTATCTTCATAATTATGATGTATATAAAGTGGTGTAAGATAGCAGCATGGAAAATGAACAGTTTCTGAAAAAGAAAACACACTCATGGATTTTGTTTGTGACTATAAGACTTAACTGTTATAATTCAATATTGGTGGATTAAAAATTGATCTTAGCTATTAGATCTTCTCATAATTCATTACTCCATTCCAAATACCTTTATCCAATACCTACCGTATGCCAGGTTCTGTGTGTGATAGGCACTGGGAAGACAAAGATGAACCAATCAGTCTCTGCACCCAAGAAGCTTGCAGTTTAGTGGGGGAGAGACAAGAAAATAAGCTATGGAGAAGTATGCATGTGATTCCACAGAAGAAGAAAGGAGGAAAACCAAGACGGAATGATGCCTGAGATGAATATTTAAAAGATAAAAAGAAAGGAAAAGACACAGCAAGAAAAGACAACACATGTGTTGTAGGTTCATGGGAGCCCAAAAATAACACCCCTTTTCTCAAAATAAGAATCAATTGAGATATAATCCAAAGAAGACAGTAGAGGGGGACTGTTATAAACTGAGTGTTTCCCCTCAAAATTCACATGTTGAAATCTTAACCCCCAGTGGGATGGTATTCGGAGGTATTAGGAGGTGGGGCCTTTGGGAGGTGATTAGGTCATGAGTGGAGGAGTCATAAATGGGATGTCTTTGTAAAAGGGACCCTGAAAATTTCTTCATCCCTTTCTTCTATGTAATGGTGCGGAAAGAAATTGGCAAACTGGAGGAGGGCCCTCATGAAAGCCTGACTGTGCTGGCACCCTGATCTTGGGCTTCCAGCCTCCAGAACTGTGGGAAACAAATCTATGTTGTTTATAGTCCACTCAGTCTATGTCTATGGTGGTTTGTTACAACACCCCCAACTGATTAAGACAGGAGCCACGAAGGAAACCTTAAAAGGAGGCTCAGGTGGAGGATACTGGTGGCATCTGTGGGCAAGCAGACTCTAATAGTGATTTGGTCAGACAGCCAGTTGCAGGCAATGCTGGACCAGGAGAACATGAGGAGCCAAGGAGAATGGACCGGCTCCCGATAAAAAGAAAGAGAAGGAGCTGGCATACTCATGATCACTTTCTCTTTCCAAACCCTCCGATTAGAGAAGCCACAATCTACCTGCTCTGGAGTGAAGAGTGTGAGGATATGAAAAGGGAAATAAAGTCAGGAATGTTATTCTAGTGGAACTTCCTCCCTCATCATAGAAACACCAGACTAGAGAAAGAAATATTCCCTAACATTGCGCAAATGCACAGACATGAAAGAGTGTGGCATGACATGGGATAGAAGCCTTAAATAAGTTGATATGGCTGAAATAAAGTACATATAAACAGATGTAGCTGACGATGAGGCTGTTAGAGGTCATCTCATAAAGCATTATGTTGTGGGCTGAATGCTGGTATCTCCTCAAAATTCATATGTTGAAACCTCATCTCCTAATGTGATGGTATTAGGAGGTAGGGTTCTTGGTAAGTAATTAGGATTACATGAGGTTGTGAGATTAGAGCCTTCATAAAGGTGATTAATGTCCCTATAGAGTCCCCAAAGAGCTTGCTGTCTCTTCACCATGTAAGGATACAGTGAAAAGTCAGCAGTTTGCAATCCAGAAGAGAGCCCTCACCAGAACCTGACCATGCTGGCACCCTGATCTCAAACTTTCAGCTTCTGGACTGGGAGAAATAAATATCTGTTATTTTAAAAGCCTAGTCTATAATACTTTATTATAGCATCCCAAACTATGACATACTGAAAAGAAGCCAGAAATTCTGTATATTTTAGACATTATGACCGCAATATGAAGAACCTATTCCTTATACCAAATCTAATCAGAGTTTTAATACTCTGAGGCCTGTGACCAAATGTTGGTGAGGCTTTCATTCTGTAAGGAATATACAAGTTACTGAGAGTCAGCAGGTGAATAATGGCTAAATGATGGAAATAGTATGAATAATACTAACTGGAAGCAACAAACCATCCCTTCTGCCTGTCTATTCATTTTAGTGTCTTCTAAACCATAGTGTTACTGTGAAAGTTTTGAAGAGGTATACAGTTATAGAAATTTTATTTTCTACATCATCAAACAATCATTCTTAAAAATGTGAGTGGACATAGTTTTAAAGTTATTAATTGCTAACTATCTTATAAAAAAAAGATCAGGTTGGGCACGGTGGCGCACGCCTGTAATCCCAGCACTTTGGGAGGCCAAGGTGGGTAGAACGTGAGGTCAGGAGTTCAAGACCAGCCTGGCCAAGATGGTGAAACCCCATCTCTAATAAAAATACAAAAAATGGACCAGGCATGGTGGCAGGCCCCTGTAGTCCCAGCTACTCAGGAGGCTGAGGCAGAGAATTGCTTGAACCTGGGATGCAGAAGTTGCAGTGAGCCGAGACCATGCCACTGCACTCCAGCCTGGGCAACAGAGCGAGACTCCATCTCAATTAAAAAAAAAAAAAAAAAAAAAAAAAAAAAAAGATCAATTCTGCCAAGTTTTGGCCAATAGAAACAACTTCTGAAGGGATTAAGGGACATTAAAACAATTGTTTTTTATTAACTGCATTGTTAAGATTAGTACCCTAAAATATTCTGTCCAGTTTTATCTATAAAAGATAATATGGAAGGCCTTAAATTAAAATGTGTAACATGTGTATGTGTGTATGCACATGTTTGTGTGTGTATAAGAGACTGAAACATGAGATACTTCAAATTCTTTTCAGAAAAAAATGTTTAAATGTTTAAAAATAAGAAGTTTAAACATAAATACATACAAGTAAACACCAAATACAAAGCAAAAACATTCTAACAGCGGTCCTCTGTTGTTTCTCTATCCATTAAATAAAAATTGCATCAGCCTGAAGTTTTCTCCTCTAATGGTACTCAAAGGTCCTAAACAGAAAACAAAGTACAGGTGCCTTTATTTGCATAGTGTCACCTCACCTAAAGAAAATCCCTCCTCTGCTCCTCTCCACTCTACAGGGCTAGGGAAGTCCTTTGATTCCTGATGCTGAAGTTCCTGTTTGCTCTCAGTATTGTTTGATCACTCAGGGAACAACAGAACAGCATGTAGCTGTTGCCTTTTTGGCACTGGCTTGATATTCAGCAGTAGGTGGTTTCTCACCAGTTTGGCTCTTGCTTTAGGACAATGAGTGACAAGATGTTAGTTCACACAGCATGACTTATGTAACTTACAAAAGAAAAAGATCAGGCTGGAGGTTTGTTCAGCAAATCAGCAAGATTTTCAAAACAAGAATAAAAGTCTTTTCCTTGCCTCTCAAAATAAGGTTGACTTGGCCAAACTAAAAAAGGGCAACTCAGTCAAGAGAATGAATCAATACATTGGGTTAATGCCATTCAAAATAGCCAGTGTGGATTCCCTAAAGAAGACGTCTTTTGGGTGGAGGGGGGTTGAAAACAGAAAATATTATTTATCAATGTGTTTATTTATTTACACAGTGGCCATGTTACTGTAAGGAGTCTAAACCTAGAGGAACAAAAGTTCTGCCCCAGAGTTTCAAGAAACCAAAATTACATGGAATAATTTGGCTTGATTCTAATAAACTCACGTAAATGCTTGTCTCTTGCTTAGAGTATTTTTAGCTCCACAAAGATTGTTTGTCAGAAAGTCAAACATCCCTTCACATGAAAGCACTGTAATAGCCATTTTTTAATTTGGGAACTAGTGTTTTTGAGGTGTCAATTGTGATTTGTTTTCACAGCTACAGGAAAAACTTCCTGAGAAGTTGTATAAATAATTGTTAAAACTCAGAGTCTAGATTTCTGAATGAATCATGAATGTTCACATTTGACTCTTCCTCTTTGCTTCCTAGAAATAACAGTCACACAGCAAGCAAAATTTCCAAGATTGTTCAATATTTAATTACCATGTTTTTCATGAATTTTTCTTAAAAAAATAGAGTCTATGCATTCCTCTGGAGTCTGTAATTCTGATCTTAATATTCTTTCCTATAATTATGTCTTAAGGGGACAATGTTTCCCCAAATTTAAAAAGGTAGGTTGGTTTTGACAGACAATTTAAGGTCCATACCCACTACCCACTAGCCATATATAGATTCTTTTCTAAGATTGTCACCCAATATAATAATAGGCATGTAGGATTTTTCCCCTTATATCTCTAAGAAGTTAACATTTTCCACATATCTTTGAAAACAAAGTAAAAGCAAAATAGCTTCCACAACAACTTTACAATCTGATTTTTAAAATATAACTAGAAGTCAAATACACTGAAAAGCCAACCAAACATGGTTTCAGGAAGCTAAAAGAAAATGCACATCTTATATATAGCAAGGTTCTATTTTTTTCTAAGTCAGAAAAAGTATTAGAAGGGTTATTAGCAGTAAATAAAGCATAAAGGTAGGGTCATACCATGGAACAGTCATTGTGTTAGTAACAAAAGAAATGGACTCATGCAAGCTTACCACTAGCCACTTGATCTCTCTGACTTGACCTTTCTGAGATGCCGGACAATAGCTGGTCTATTCACCCACTAGACCAGGTGGTTGTGAAGTTCAACTCACATCATGTATGTAATGGTGCTTCACAATTTGTAATATACTTAGAAAAAGGTTAGGAGTTATTGTGTAAATGTGAGGTGTTATGATTTTGTTAAGGTAAGGTGAAAGCTGCTATTCTTATTCTTCTATTCCCACTTTAATTCTTTATGAAAGACAATGACTTAAAAAAGTCAATTCATGGTAATAAAATCTCCACTAATCAATGTAGCAATATTTTCAACTTATTTCTTAAGTTCTCTCTTCCATCCTGTAACCCAGTTATGTCACATAACCCTATGCTTTTAGATATAGAAAGAACATTTGTCATTTTATAGTCCCAAGTCATAATATTATAGACAAGGAGACAGAGGTGCAGATATAAAATGAAATTACTGAAAAGGACCTTGCCATAAACATAAGAAGTCAGTAGGCAGTGAAGACTGAGGATTCCTTCTCAGTGTTTTGGCTACCACTGTGGCTGATGATAGTTTTAGGAGACAGTACTGGAGTCACTGATGGCCAATAGGTATCTGCAAAAGCACAAATATCATTTCTATGAAAGTTAAAAATAACAATCATATTTGGTCACCTGTTTTATTTTGTTTGAAAAGTGTCCATGCTGATTGAACAAACACATTCAGGCATGGCACGTCTGTGCTGTGTAGTGTTGCATAGCTTTCATCACCCTAAGGCTGTTCTTTGAGAGAGACCGACTTCATGCTGAACTCAGCATGAGGACAACAGGGCAGGACACCAATTAGTGGAGGCATTTGCACCAACTTGACGGAACCACTGTGCAGGGAAGTTCACGGGAACCAAAGCAATAGCAGAAGCATGTCCTTTGGCAGTAAATAATTAAACTGGAAGTAAAAAATTTATCCTTCATAGATGGGAGTTTGATTTATATTCAAGAAAATCTTCAGCCTTCAGAAAATCTAAGCAGTTACCAATCCCACGTGATCTTGATGAAGCCATGAGAAATTGCACTGTTCTCCTGTACTGCACTTTCTATATAATCTAAATTCACTTTTTTGACCTTCAGCAGAATAGGCATGGAAGCAGAGGTCATGACTCTGTGTTAGCGTAGTATCAAATAGATGCTGTCAGGACCCCAAATCCCTACTCCCTGAAAATAAACACCACTTGCTTGTCTGGCCAGCTAACGCCATATTTTTGTAGTTCACAAGTTTCATTTAACTATAATTTTTAAGTATTATATTTGCTAAGTTTTTACAACATGAATTGTTTTTAGAGAAAAAAAGAGTGAGATAAGTAGCCATGTATTGGCTGTGTTTTTTCTAGTACGTGTTTTGCTTTTAATAGTAATTTCCAGATCTAATTCCCTCTTGGCCTATTTCCATTCAGAGTGCCCAGCTAGAAAATACTAAGAAAAGATCACAAATCAAATGTCTTATGATAATATCCTCAGAAATTTTAAACAGCTCTAAGAGATTTGGCCTCAGACCCAAACATTTACATGATCGCTCAATTTTAATGAGGTCAAACAAGCTGCTTGGCATCTGGCCAGTGCTCAAGGTCTTGGCCTGAGTGGGGAGGGCCATCTTGTTCTTACAGAGAACGTTAAGACATAGTGACAGGTGATAATGTAATGCATGAGGATGCTGCCCTTGGCCATTTCATCTTTTCACCCCTCTGGATTCCCAGAGGCAACGTTTTGGCCAGATGTAAACACTTTTACCAGTAGCTAAGGATCTGAAGAAGAACCACATTTTGCAGAGAAGCATTTTAAAGGATTTAAATAACCCCCTAACATTTGTCACAATGGGTTCATCAACCTGAGAAAACAAGAAAGAAAACAGACCTCTGGAAGTGCTAAGCAGAGTGATGGAGGCTACTAAGGAGCCAAATTAATACAGCTGTATTTTCATCTTGATTTTAAACAGCCAACTCTTGAGTATTAAAGTCACATCAAAGATATATGTTCCTTTATAACTCCTCCATCTTAAATATTATCTTTGAAAAAATTAAGTTATTCTTGAGTAGACTGTTTTTTCTTCAAGTAACAGCAATGTATTTAAGTCTACTTAAATCTTATTTAAATAATTTACTAATTCTATAGGGTTGTTCATTAGAAACCAAGATTGAATTTAAAAAAAATTTAAGGAGAGCAATCTCAGATGTAACTCACTTGGCAAACAATTGCTTATGTTTTTCATTCTAATTATCAATATGAAATTTTCATCTTAATATCTTGCTTAGTACAGAGCCTGCCATGATACCAGTGAGGGGCCTTGTCACCAAATGTGGGAAGGAGCAAAGCACCTATAAACAATCTTAACACTCACTTTTACAATAAAGCATTGAGATTAATACATATATATGGTGTATTAGTCTGCTCTCACACTGCCATAAAGATACTACTTGACTCTGTAATTTATAAGGAAAAGAGGTTTAATTGACTCACAGTTCTGCATGGCTGGGGAAGCCTCAGGAAACTTACAATCATGGCAGAAGGTGAAGGGGAAGCAAGAACCTTCTTCACAAGGTGGCAGGAGAGAGAGAGAGAGAGAGAGAGAGAGAGAGAGAGAGAGAGCACACAAGGGAAACTGCTAGACATCTATCAAACAACAGATCTCATGAGAACTCCCTGACTAGCATGAGAACAGTATAGGGGAAACTGCTGCCATGATCCAACCACCTCCCACCAGGTCGCTCCCTCAACATCCAGGTTTTACAATTCGAGATGAGATTTGGGTGGGGACACAGAACCAAACCATATCATACAAGAACCCAAAGGTAAAAACAGTAAAATCATTCTCTACTAATATTATGTTACCTTAGAATCCACAAAATCCCACTTTTTCATACATTTAAAGGGTTATGAAGAAAGAGTTTTAAATCACAGAAATGAATATTAAAACTTGTTTCAGTTGACTTGTAAATAACAGTAAACTACTTTATTATGGAGGTTGTGAATGTTCTCTAACAGAATTTCAGGCCAGGCATGGTGGCTCACACCTATAATCTCAGCACTTTGGGAGGCTGAGGTGGGCAGATCACTTGAGGCCAGGAGTTCAAGACCAGCCTGGCCAACATGGTGAAATTTCATCTCTACTAAAAATACAAAAACCAGCTGGGCATGGTGGCACGTGCCTGTAATCCCAGCTACTTGGGAGCCTGAGGCAGGAGAATCGCTTGAACCTGACAGGTGGAGGCTGCAGTGAGCCGAGATCGCATCACTGCACTCCAGCCTGGGCAACAGAGCAAGACCCTGTCACAAAAAATAAAAATAAAAAAGAATTTGAGAAAGTACTCATTATAAAATGATGTTGAAAATATAAAGCAAACAAAGTGAAAAACTCAATGGCTCTCCTAATTCCTAAGAAGAGAATTACCATATGGATAAGCAGTCAAGTGGGAAAAGATGACTATTTTCTGAGACCAGAGAGAAGCTCTCTAAGTCCCTCTTGTGTTAAGTCTGTCCTACTGTTGAGAATGTGTTTATGGGGTAGAAATTATTTCCCCATCTCTAATATTCTTTTACCATGCACTCAACAACCTAAGGATATGGTCTTAGGTTGTAGAGATCTTTGAAAGTTACTTTTCTGTGTCACTACAAGCATGCAGGCCGAAGACCAGGGTTGTTCTATACTAGGAGCACCCTCCATCAGAACTTTCTGAAATGTTAGAAATGCGCCATAACTGTACTGTCCAATATGTCAGCCATTACCCTCATGTAATCAAATGTAGCTACCATGACTGAAGAACCAAATTTTTTATTTTATTTTTATTTTATTTTAGCTATTTTAAACTTAAAAAGCTACATGGGTCTAGTGGCTCCGTCATTGGATAGAACAGCTGCAAAAGCAAACATAAAGCTTGTGGGCTGATAATCAACTAGATCTACTAAAAACATGTGTCAGTCTGCACCATAAAGAATAAACTATTCCTCTTTGAAGCATCTATGTTAGTTCTATCACCGCCATTGTTTCGGTTCTTTAATATCATCTGCTGTGGATCTCTAAAAACTGGGAAATTGAAAGCCAGGGTAGAAAATCTTATCAATTAAATCAGCACATTCCAGGTGACAGAAAATATTGGGAACTTGTTCACTTATCCACAGATCACAGGTGTGAAACTTACGTCATGTAGTGCATTGTGCGGCCCTCTTCATACATGTGGCAAACTACCCCATCAGCAACTATGAATAACAAGAGTTTTTATTTGGCTTAAAGAAAGAAATATAAACTTGACTTAATGAGAGTACTCTGACCAATGGAGGAGTTCTTTTAAGAATCAACTGTTTTTACCTCCCAGATAGACAGTCCAAGAAGAAACAGACTTAGTTACATAAAGGAAAATAAAGATCAGATGCAAAGAGTTTCTTTCCAACTTCAATATTAGGCAATGAAATGGGTTCCCAAAGGGTGACTTCAGAATCTCTAACACAGGACATTGTCATACAAGCCATCTGGTTTAGCTTACTGGTGTCATCCACTACATGCTATTTCTAGAATTGGGTATTTTATTTTAGCTGAATATGTTTGGTTGAGTATCTTACATAAAGGTCTTGCTATATTTTTTTCCAGACTTTGGACTCCCACATAGTCTAGTGTGTATGCATAATTATTTCCTTAAAAGTATAAGTTCAGAGTTAAGGTTAATAAGACCTCATATATGTTGGTACTAAGGTTGTTATTTAGTTGTAAAGTGTAGCAATGTGATTGGCACTGTATTGAGGTGCAAAAGATACAGTTCTTAACCTAAGGGCATAATCCAAAATCTAGCCAAGTGAAAGATAAAGATATGATTATAATTTTATTATTCAACACTTCTATTTGTAGAAAAACTCTAGGAAAAAAAGTTTTTAGAAGCATTATTGAGCAGTATGAAATAATATGGATTTCAACTTTTAAAAATTAGGGGTAAGAGAAAAGAAATAAGAAGGAAACAAGTTGACATATTGGGCAAGAATTTAGAGAGAGTAATAAGCTTGGTATGTGTTTATTAGCAGTAGACAATAAGTTTGGAGGATTAATTATTAACTGTAATGCAGAGAATAAAATCCTGCTATGGGCTGTATTTATTAAGCGCAGTTTTGACAAGCAATAATTATGTAAGCACAACATTCCCTTTCATAATTAGTTGGGTTTTTTTTAAGCTTTCACCATTCACAATTTGCCCCCAAAATGTTAACCATAATACAATACCACAGATGCAAAACATTCAGGGGGTCTTCGTGCACATTTTCAGCCTTCTGCAAACACACTCTGCCCTCAGGAATCAGTGAATCTTTGAGACAAGCTCTCCCCTATACCATTGCCCACCTGCACCCCAGGCCACAAACAAAATGGAAGATACAAAACGAGGTGATGCAGGATGGTAAGAAAGAGAGCTTTGGGTAGTGACCAAAGAGAAAGTAGATCTGAGAGACTGCAGGTGATGAAAGAATTAAAAATCCGAGACAAAGAAAGAGCTAGGAGGGTCAAAACTTCAGGAGCCCTGCTTTCCTGTCTCCAGTCCTTGATCTGGCTGAAACTGTGCAGAAGTGAAAGCAAGGGCCTGTGACAGGTGACTCTCTCACAGTTCTTTCTGCAAGAGACCATCTGACTCCTGCCACCAGTGTGACAAAGACCACATGGAGGTCTGGGCTGAAAATCAGATCACCAGCCTCTAGCAGGTAAGGCTGCTACTATTAGATTTGCCCTAAGACTGCTGGATATATTTTATGACAGGTACCATTGGGTAACTCATTGGTTAGGAATGTGGGTTCTGGAGTCAGACTGCCTGAGTTTAAGCTTCAACCCACTGCCTGGCTGTGTGACCTTAGGTAAGTTAATTACACTGCCCAGGCCTCAGTTCCCCTAACTATGAATAGGACACAGTGACACTGACCTTGTGAGTACTAAAGGAAATTGTGTTCAGGAAAATGTTAGAGTAGTGGCTAGTTTGCTATAAACACTCAACAAATATTATATTACTCATTGTTATTTGTAACTTTCTGACTCTCTTGGAATAGTTTAACTGTATTTTCCATAACAAACAAAATTACTGATATTTAATGGCTGCTGAACTGACAGACATGATGGTTTTAGTGGTTGGTAAATCTCATTAAACAGGTTTCTAATAGCCAACTGGTATTTAATGAGCATATTGATGGTCTTACTGTCTTTAAATTAAACCCTATTTCAACCATTTAATTTCTGTTTATAACATACTTCCATCCTTTTAAAAGAAGCATATAAAGCTTCTCTTGAAAAGAAAAATGTCCATTCACTTTTTTCTTCCCTGTTTTATTGACTGCCTAAATTCTTAGTAGCATTTGGGCAGACACTTCGTGCTGTTCAAGCCTATTGAGTCATGTGCTGTTGTGAAATTATTGTCTACCTAACCACAAATGCAATATGCTGGTATAACTTCCTCTTTTAAACAGTTTTTGATTGTCAGACAATCCTAAACATATTCTCTTTTCACTTGACAATGCAATTTTATCTATATGCCCTTCTTTCTTATTTTCCTTTTTGTCTTTGCCCCTTGCAGATGACTTCAATTCCATCATTACTATTCCTGTCTACTTGCAATATCAATATTATTTATCATTGTGTTGATGTGTGCTTTCTTCTATCCCATACATCCTATCAGTATAAACTCTTTCATTATATTGATTAACCAACTCAGTTTATGGCAGTGTTTCTTTATCTGTCATCAATTGATTATCACACATTCATCAGGCACTGGATAGAATTCATAGGATATGCCACAAAGTGAGAAGGGGGATCATTTGCTTCAGAGAAGACACATTTACTGATCATACTGCAAAGAGCAAGCTGACCCCTGCTTGAGATCTTACAGAGAACTACAGAAAATTCACAAAAGCCCCCACAAAAGAGTCTGCTGTGACCATCTGTCAAGTTGTCAGCTGTAAACAACTGCCAAAATGCTAGATCACCTCACAAGGAGCTGTGAAGTAACATCTTTGCTGCCTTTCTTACTTCTTCCTTCCTGGCACCAATCCTTGAAGAGCCAGAAAACTCTGCCGGTGAATTGGAGAAGGAGTAGAAGTAGTATTAGACTAGGTAATAAATCTCTTCCACCCCTACTTCAACTTCTGGCTTCCCACTCACAGCAGACTCAAGCTGCCAGAAAGGAAAAAAACTTCAACTTTAACACAAGATCAAAGTTTTTACAAACACATGCTTCTGACAGTTAAATTACTAAACTGGGGCAGTTTTCTGTGACCTGAAGTAACAAGAAAACTGTATTACTCAACAGTGACCAGAAACATCATGGAATCTGCCTAACTTTTCACAAAGAAATGAAAAGGCTAAACTTACAAACTACATTTAAAAGGATAGAGGGAGAGAACATTTAAGCTACTTCTTGACTATATTCCACAAGTCATCTCTGTTCAATATATCAGCTGTTTCTTGGAAGAGAAAATGGTGATATCAGGGTACACGATGGCTTCCTCAAGAAGAAGCTGTCATGCCCAGGCCAAACTCAATGACAGCCCTTGAATTCATGGAAATTATCCCAGGCAGAACACACATCCTTGTCATCACTGTCAAGGATTACTGATTACACTATCGCATTTCATCTGCACCTACGGACATAAGAAAGCATCAAACTACAAGTCTTTTCATGTCCCCAAGCTGCTAAAAAGGAATCATCTAAAATGCCTCTTCCTGGCCTCCCAGGAAGGTGTTGTAGAGATTCTCATGAAGAATTATTATTATCTCTTTTAAATAATAGCTCGGCATTAACAGAAAATTTTCTCTGTATTATTGCCATCACTTAAAGACAGAACTTATGACACCACAAATGACCCAGAGAAAAGGTAGTTCTAAATCAATGCAAAATAACAAAAGGATAAAAAGCATATCCCCAGAGACACACCAGGAGATGCACACTGTGTTGCATTTATTAAAATGCAGGTGTAAGCATAAGGCATAAAATGACAATATTAAACCAAGAGTTTAAATTATGTAGAATATTTTATAAGATTATAGCTTTAATTTCCTTTGGGGAAACTAAGGTGGAAAATAGTAGTTTCGTGAGACTGTTCACTGTTGATTTGAAAGCCATCTGGCTAATCCGTAGCATTTATTTTTTTAATGAATAAATGAAAATCAAAAGAAGGATGCAATATTATTCAAGAAAAAGATTTGTGCTTTGAAAGTTTTAAAATAATATTGCAACTCCAAAATTACATGTAAATCCCTCAAAATAGACCAAGTAGGCACGTTCTCCCAATCTAATGTCTATTTAACTCCATTGAAACAGGTGATCTATTTCTTAATATTGCCTATGTATGGGCAAGAAATGTGGGTATTTGCTCTGTTTTGTTTTAAATAGAAACTTCTAATTGTATTTTCTTTCTCTGGGAATCACACCTCCAAAGTGGTACACTGTAGGAAATAGGACAATCCTAGGGGCCATGGGCCTTCGTGAGAGGTATAAGTCTTGCTCCATCCCATTTCAGATGTGCAAGATGTTTACTCTGACACGGCCTATGTATCTTTAAGAAGCTCAAATAATACTAATTCAATGCCATTCCTAAGTTATCAAGAGGATCCAACAAGTCAGTGAGCATACAACTGTAAAGACAAAGTAATCTAAAATGGAGATTATTTTATTCTTTTTGTTATAGTGTTTCAATGAGGAATTATATTTCAGTAAAGAACAAGGAAAGTAATAGAAAAAAGAAAGAAAGTATAATGCTATAAATAAGGACCACATATTTCTCCATGCCCTGTTTACCCTAATATGTAAATATAGAGGGCTACAAAGAACAAATAACAATTCAAAGAAATAAAGGGGCCATTTAATATTGAATCACAAAGGCCTCTGACAAACCCCAAATCCACCCTCCTGAAGCAAATCACCACTTTCCAAGACATGGGATAACCTATTGAGTTTCTCTAGCTCTTCAAAGTTCTTTCTTCTTTTGCCTTGTTGTGACCACTTCTCCAAAAGAGGGACTGAAAGCTTACTATCAAGTAACTTTGAATGTCCACATTTTATTCTCCCTCTTCCTTGTGACTTGCTCGACTAAAGGGAGATTTTGTTTCCTCCATTCCAATTCTGCATCAAAATAAAACTGCTGTGTTTCATCACTTCCATGTTTGAAGCATTTGCCTTGATCATTTGGGTAAGCGTAAATTTTTCACCTGCAATTTGATCATTCTTATTTCCTTAGCAGTAATTTTACAGTTTTGGAAGTCCTATCAGAAAACTAAAATTGTTCTGAAAAAAATTGCCTTAACTTTATCTTCCAAATTTTAAAAACAATAGGGGCACATCGTGGAATATGTTAAAAAGTGTAATTTTTAAAAAGCAGAAAAATAATTTTGGGGTTTTTTTGTTGCTGGTTTATTCTTGTTCTTTAAAATAGTCAAATTTGTATTGCATATACATTTGTTATCCTACTTTTTACTTACTATCATGTCATTCACATTTTCATGTCAAAAATTATTTGTAACAAAGTTTAATGCTAGTTATAGTTGATTATTCAGATATAATGCCTAATTTTACAATAGTGAAATTTCAATTGCTTTGTATTGGTTTATAATAAATGCTAGCTAGTTTGCTATGGAAGCTTGGATCTACTCATAATTTGTTTTTTTAAGCATCAGAAATAGTTTTGAATTCAAGCAAATGTCTTTGTAGCACTAATTGAGATATTCAACAATTTTTCTCTGTTACCTGTTAAAACATGAGTTGTTACCTTCATTTTCCTCCTTTTCTTTTTTATTTTAAAGTGCTGCAGTTGGGAAATGTGGTCAGAAACATGTCTTACCTTTTAGAATGATCTGAGATTGTCTTTGGGAGTATCTTGTTTATAAATATGCACTTTCAGTGGTATTTTGAAGCTTTGACAATGGAGAAAGAAGCTTGAGGTTATTTTTCTTAAACTTATAAGGTCACTTGCAAGTCTCTCTGTTTTCACTTTCATTGTTTATCTACAGAATAAAAGGTATAACTATGACCAAGAAGTGAATCGGTTCAATGTGGAAAGCCAGATGGCATGCCACTGTTTTCTCCTTCGTTTCCTAAGGAACACTTTTAAGAAACCGTGGACAGTGACCAACCATCCCCATTTGTACCGGACTGAAGAGTTCCCTAGGATATAGGACTTTAGGTGCTAACACTAGGAGGGTTCCAGGCAAACTAGGATGTTTGGTCACCCCTGAACAATTTTCCAGAGTGAAGTTTATTCAACATCAAACTCTCAGTACTTAAATCCAACTAAGTGAACCAGTTCCTGCTGAAGAGATTCACATTTACAATCCCCTTTCTGTGACAGGGAGTCTTCACAACTGAATCAATTGAATAATCAGAATAATGATGGACATTGAACTTACTCATCTTAGTGATGATGTTCTAAAAACATGTGTGAAGGGTGCATGTACCAGTTATAATATGCCATAACTAGGTGACCTGGCCACCAGTCCTTCTCATTCTCTGTCCCCTCCACTGCCCCTGGCTTCTTGCCCACACTGCTCCAGTCACTCTGGCTTCCTGCAGCTCAAGTGTTTCTGCTTGCAGTTCCCCCTGCCTCTGTCCTTACTCTTCTGCCAAATATCATGTAGTTTGCTCCTTCATTCAAGTCTTGGCACAAATCTCACCTTATCAGGGAGGACCTCCCTGACAACCCATTATAAAATAACACCTTTACTCTCTATCCCTTTACCTTTTATTTTATTTATTTACTTATTTATTTATTTATTTATTTATTTTGAGATGGAGTATTGCTGTGTCGCCCAGGCTGGAGTGCAGTGGCGCCATCTTGGCTCACTGCAACCCCTGCCTCCCGGGTTCAAGCGATTCTCCTGCCTCAGCCTCTCGAGTAGCTGGGATTACAGGCGCCTGCCACCACGCCCGGCTAATTTTTTGTATTTTAGTAGAGACAGGGTTTCACCGTGTTGCCCAGGCTGGTCTCAAAGTCCTGAGCTCAGGCAATCTACTCGCTTCGGCTTCCCAAAGTGCTGAGATTACAGGCATAAGCCACCGCACCCGGCCCCACCATTTTATTTTTTTTTTTATCACAGTTACAAACCCCTGACATGTATTTATGTATTTGTTTAGCGTTTGTTTCCACCCCACTAGACTGTGAGCTCAGAGGTTAAGGTAGGCACTTAATGAATGAAGCGATATGGTAAACACCACCGACGCTGGAGTCAGAATGGCTCGATTGAGAACTCAACTCTGCCTCGAATAATTATGTGACCCTTAGCAGGTTACCTCACTGAAATTTTCTAGGCCCCAGGTTCCACATAGATAAAATGAGGGTAACAATAGCCCCTACCTCTAAAGGTTGTTTTGAAGAGGAAACAAAGTAACACACAGGAACCATTTAGGGCGGTGTCAGGTGTGTGGTAAGTGCTCAGTAGGTGTTGTCCTGTATTGCTACTATTTCCCTCATTAATGAATATGTTTCCAAATATTGAATTAAACAGAAGCATCAAGCCTGGGGTTATCTGAATATGAATATGTAAACTATCAAGATCACAAAATGGCAGATGTTGTATTTAATGTTTGCTATAAAATATATATATATATATTTTTTGGAGACGGAGTCTTGCTTTGTCGCCCAGGCTGGAGTGCAGTGGCGCCATCTTGGCTCACTGCAGCCTCCACCTCCCGGATTCAAGCAATTCTCCTGCCTCAGCCTTCTGAGTAGCTGGGACTACAGCCGCATGCCACCACGCCCGGCTAATTTTTGTATTTTAGTACAGACGGGGTTTCACTGTGTTGCCCAGGCTGGTCTCAAACTCCCGAGTTCAGGCAGTCCGCCTGTCTTGGCCTCCCAAAGTGCTAGGATTACAGGCGTGAGCCACCATGCCGGGCCAACAATAATATAAAATGTTTTGAATGCCAGATCATTTCAAAGTACTTTTCATTTTTGCAAAATTGTTCCCTTTGTAATTGTTACTCTGGTTTCAAGCAGACTTGCTAATCCAACACTTGTGAGCTTAGTAGTAAGTGACTATTTAAGCACATCTTACAGGTTTCCCAAGATGGTCTGGTCTTGGGTTTTACTGAGCACATTTGCATTGTGAGCAACATTTGTATTGGGAATTGTTCCTTTAATTTCTAAGGCATTTACACAACCAGTTTCCCTGACCAGGATCATTTTCTGGGCCATAAAACACACTAAATTTGGTTTAGTAGGAGGCATCAGTGGAAGCCTTTGTCATGAACTCCACCAGCAGGGTATTCCTACAACATGTCACCTAAATGTTTCTGAAATTTTACAGAGTTGAGCAGATGGTTGAGCTCTCTGATATTGTCTATAATGGCCCCACAAAGCTTTGCTTTCATTTGTAAAATTTTAATTTTCAAACAATAAATCATGGACAGGGGGATTAAGAAGTACTTTTTAAAATTATTCAAGGGTATCATCCTATGTGCCTATAAGGAGTTAGATACAGGTTCCTGTTTACAATCTTAAAATCTTTTGGCTTGAAGATGTTTGGGAAGAAAGAAGGGAAGCATGCAAATTTGTAATTTTGGAATTTTGAGTTTTGTCACTGTATTAGTTCATTCTTGCATTGCTATAAAGAAATACCTGACACTGGATAATTTATAAAGAAAAGAGGTTTAATTGGCTCATAGTCCTGCAGGCTTTACAGGAAGGATGGCAACGCCATCTGCCTGGCTTCTGGTAAAACCTCAGGGAGTGTTCAGTCATGGTGGAAGGTGAAGGGGGAGCAGGCACATCACATGTTGAAAATAGGAGCAAGCTAGAGAGAGTGGTGGCGAGGTGCCACACACTTTTAAACAACCAGATCTCATGTGAACTCAGAGCAAGAGCTGGCTTGTCACCAAGGGGATGGCCCAAGCCATTCATGAGGAATTCACCCCCATGATCCAAACACCTCCCACCAGGCCCCACCTCCAACACTGGAGATTACAATTTAACATGAGATTTGATGGGGACGTGTATTCAAACTATATCAGTTACTCACTGAAGGAAGAAATAATAAGAACGAGCCCACCAACCAAAAGCTAGGCAACTACCATACCTCAGTGCTCCCACATCAATTGCATGGCTCACTTTGATATGAGGGCAAATCATAACCGCTCCCTCTCTAAGAGCTACTTTGTGGTCCACAGGAGAGGAACGGCCTCGTGACACTCAAATGGCCCTGGTACTCACAAGTTAACAAACTTCAAAATGCTATTTGAAAGGGAAACTAATAACATTAAAAAGAGGTCACAGTACTGTTTGAAAATCTACAAAGGAGTCATGATCTTTGTTCAAGGAAGTAAAATATTAAGGAAATTTGTGTTAGTTGAGTTCTTGACTGAACATGTGCTATGAATTTCTGATTGTGGAAGCTGCTTCCTATTCGAAAATAAAATAAAACTCTCTTGGTATGCAAATGATAAGAATATGTTTTGGTATCAAACAATATCTAAAAGCAAACTCTCTGCAAAGTATCCCAGAATGGTTTACTTAAGAACATCCTGGCTGAACTTCAAAGTAGAGCCTACTGGAAAATATTTACCCAGACTATTTGAAAAGAGATTTGAAAAGAGAGTTTCATTGATTTCCATTGTCCAGCTTTATTTCATGGATTTCTATCATTTGACTGTATTTTTTATTATCAGTATCATTGCCACAAGAAAGTATTACAGTCAAGAGATGATAAATAATAATGATGATAGTAATTGTAAATCCAAAAACTTTTACCTGTTAATAACTCTGTAACTAACTACAATAAATTACCTTTAGTATACAAATAGGCCTGGTGCAGTGGATCATGCCTGTAATCCCAGCACTTTGGAAGGCTGAGGCAGGTGGATCACTTGAGGCCAGGAGTTCAAGACCAGCCTGACCAACATGGCAAAACTCCATGTCTACTACAAACACAAACATTAGTCAGGTGTGGTGGCACATGCCTGTAATCCCAGCTACTCGGGAGGCTGAATCACGAGAATCATTTGAACCAAGGAGGAAGAGGTTGCAGTGAGCCGAGATCATACCACTGCACTCCAGCCTGGATGACAGGGTGAGACTCTGTCTCAAAAAAATAAAAAATAAAAACAAATAAACCTGTAACTTGTATTTACCAATGCCACATCAAGCAGGACAGCATAACTGACCCAGTAAAAATTATTCTCTGGCTCAGCACAGAGAGTGAAAGTAGCTGGAAATTCATAATACAACCTTCTGCAACTAGATCAAGGCGCTTCCCAGGTTCTTTCGCTTGATTTTACCACATGATTGTGGCCACCATCTTCCCTGATTTGTATCCTCGATTTCCTCTGTTGTTCCCTCAAGTAGCTCTCTGCACATATGATTGTATTCCCATGACAGCTGTTGCTTCTCTTGGTGGGCCTGTTAGTCCAACTGAAACCAGGAACTCTGGCCTGCAGAGATACATTCTGTGCTGAGGACATAGTGGTTCTGTAATTCATCTGAGTTCCAGTGGTTAAGCTCAGTTACTAGGCAACACCACCATGAGACCACAGATCCTGGTTGCACATGTACATGCCTTCTCTGGCTCACCTTCTCCATTAGCCTCCTTTCCCTGGGATTCAGAGAAAAGTCTTTGGAGACTGGGCCAGAAGACAAATAGAGTGATTAACAAAGCTTATCTAAAATTACTAATGATCCTTCATAGCCATGCTGCCATCCCACATCCCAATCTCTGTCAGAGGAAAATCCTAATTCCAAATAATTTATTTAAAATTGGCACAGTTCTGTCATGGCAAAAAAATGCACAGGAGATGGCAACCTTAAAGCCTGGTGTACCTAGCTCTTTTGTCAAGATGCAAGCCTGAGGCCGAGCCTGAAAGTCCACTGTCAACTCTCCTCTACCTGAAGCTCTGAGAGGAGTAGGAAACTCATTCTACTAAAGCCTGCAGTGCTTATGGTGCCAATCTCTGAAAATAAAAGAATTGGAACCATGCTAGAAAATAAAAATGGATTACCTTTGAAGGCTCACATGATAAAAGTAATTTGGAATAGACTTTGTATTTCCCTTAGCCTCACCTTTTACCCATTGCATTAATTTTCCTTACATACCTGTGAATCAAGGCACTACAAATTCATTACTTACTGATAAGACGTGTCCAATTTCTTAAAGAATAACAATGTATCTTCAAATACTCAGATTTAAAATACTGTAGTCCTAGTTTTTTCATACTTTTTGCATTTCTCTTGACACATTTTGGGTGACATAAAATGTCCCACGTAGCCACTAGTAATTATAAAACAGGTACACACAGAATTGGAAAGCACATATTTTATGCTTGATTATTATTTTTCTATCTTTGTCCACCAGTGTAATCTATTCTCTCAACTGAGTAAATTGGGTATCATAATAGCTATGGCAGGGCTAGTGCTATGCAGCCTCCTTTGGGAGTAGGGAGTTTGGGAAGCCAAATAGAGGTGAAATATGAACCAACAGGGTAATACATCTGAAAGTATGAAGATAGTGACATAACTTTTATTCTGGTTGACATGGGTATTACAATTATCAGATCATCAGTGATATCAAATGTGCAGTGAGTCAAATTTGATATGAATAAACTTTCTAATGATATGATGCTTCAAACTTTCACTTGCACTGTAGTTCACCATAACCTTCACTGGCTTCAGGTTGATTAGGTTATCGATAGCTAAAGTCATTTCTTCAGAGAATGCTGCTGGAATCTCAAACACACCCCAATATTTAAATTATTGTATAGATAGTTTAAGACTACTCAAAAGACCCCAAATAACAGCTAGGTAAATTTCAACTTATCAGCTGCCAGAAGTATAGACACATCAGTGAGGGGATTCTCCTACGATTCTGGTACATTTATGAGATTAAAACCAGCCATACATTGCCAAGTGCAATGTCCATCCCAGATGATAGCCAATCAATATTTATCAAGCTTCTCTAGAATGAGACAGAGAAGGCTGAGAGCTAAGAGATCTGTCCAACTTCTGCCACTAATGAGCTATGTGGTTTTGGGAATGTCACTTAGTGTTTCCTGGCCTCGGTTTCTTCTGCTGCAAACTGGGCAAGATAATCTGTGGTCCCATCCAAAGAATTTCCCTGCTCAGTTAACAAGGTCATGGTCATTTACAGAGAAGTTTCATTTTGGAGTCCATGGGAGGCCAGAACATAAAACTTCATAATTTCAAGCACTTTTCTATTTTAAGCATCATTATGTTTGAGGGAAAATAGTCCCAAATGTGTTAAACTAATTCTTCTTAGCAACTTTCTAACAGTCCCCAAATTTATTCAAATTAAGTAGCAAATTGAGACATCCTAGAGCAGATATACATTCAGTTTTAAATTGCTGCCTTTATATTTTACATATCATTGAATTTTCAAATAATACAATTAGCAAAAGTGCAAAAATATAAGTGAATTGAATTTAAACTGTGAAGCTAGAGGGATGGAAGTTTTTAATCACTAGATGTTCCATAGCATAACTGAATCAAGTTGTTTATGATAATTTTATTACCTCAAACCTCTTTTTTATAGAGTTATTACATTTTCTCATGATGTATGATATCACACTTTCAAAGCCCTTTCAGTAATTGGAGCTCCATGAAACTGGCTTCTAAGGCTCATTAATGTGAAAAATTATCTTAAAAGTTAAGTAAATGTAGTTTCACTTTGTTTTAGAACTACCAACTATGAAAGATATTTTCTATATCTTTGACAGTATTTCTAATTAAAGGTCCCTCTTTTTTGTCAACATTGTATCTTCATGAAGTTCATTTACATTAAACCTATTTGTAACAGGATAGATTTAATTTTTCAAACTAAAAATGTGAAAGTGTTCATTTAATCCAAATTGTAAAATTTGTTTCAGAAACCTGACAGCAGGGATATTATCCTTGACTGCTGTTTAGAATCACCTAGGAAATTTGGAGAGAAAATAATTTATATATGGCTGGGCCTGCCCCAGAATATTTAAATCAAAAACCCTAGACGTGGGAGTAGGTATTCGTATATTTTAAATGCTCCCCCAGGGATGTGCAGTCAGGACTAAACTGCCAGCCTAGAGTAACTTCTTATCTCCTTGGTGCAACAGTCTCTGTTGCATTTTACCATTCCCATCCCGATGCCTGCTCCACCACAATGCCCTCTACTTCTGTTTCTAACAGTTTTTCAAAATGCTTCTGAAATAGCTAGCTTTATTTTCTCTTCCTTTGTAACAGTTCTGTAGAGTTGGCAGCACATGTATTATCCCATTTGAAAGCCTTGATTTGACCAAGGGAGCACAAACAATAAGTGATAGGGCAAGAATAAGGATTCAGGCATTCTTATATCAAGTCTAGTGCACTTCCTGCTGTACCACACCGCCTTCCATGCTTGGAACCCAATGTTTGACTTTAATCACTCCTTGTCTGCACACAAAACTATAGTTTGATATTATCCAAAGAAAATGCAAAGAGGGGCCGGGTGCGCTGGCTCATGCCTGTTATCCCAGCACTTTGGGAGGCCGAGGTGAGCGCATCACCTGAGGTCAGGAGTTTGAGACCAGCCTGACCAACATGGTGAAACCCCATCTCTACTAAAAATACAAAATTAGCCAGGCGTGGAGGTGCATGCCTATTATCCCAGCTACTCAGGGGGCTGAGGCAGGAGAATTGCTTGAACCCAGGAGGCGGAGGCTGTGGTAAGCTGAGATGGCCCCATTGCACTCCAGCCTGGGCAACAAGAGCAAAACTCCATCTCAAAAAAACGAAACAAAACAAAACAAAACACAAAGGGGAAAGAAAGGCGACTCATGTTGCGTGTAGTTGAGGCCCACTGACTACCTGTATTCAGCCCATGATAATTCCTTCAAGGGCTTTGGCAAGACCTTCAATGTTTAATTATAGACATTTTATCCTACTAAAGATGAGTCATTTTAATAAACAATCAATTCACTAGCTTTTAGCCAATTATCATTTAGTTGAAGAATAGCAGCTAAAATTATGCTCTACTCTGTTTTTCTCTGTTACTTTGCCCCCTTATTTCCAAACTCCTCTTCCCTAATTAAAACAATTTCCAACTCTGACAGCTCTGGCCCCCACATCTAGAAAGAAAAACAAGAACCTTTACATTCCTGGCAACATATTTTAAATGTATGTAATTAAAGCAGTAAAATTAAAGAAAAAAACATATAAGAAGTGTTTTCAGAGCAAAGTACCTTGACTTCAAGATCTGCTAACACAGAATTACATTAATTGTTCAGTGATTTTGATTTTCATAAATCAATCCAAAATCTCAACATGTTTTCCTCAACAACAGATTTATATTATTTTGCTTGAATAATCCAAATAATTGTTTAAACTGCCTATTTCTCTTTATTTCTGTATAAAAGTCATCCATAACAATATCTCAATAGTGTAACTAACTCAAGAGATTTTTAGGGATTAAAAAACAAATCATATTTTAATTTGAAAAAAATTACATGATAAAGAAGTCTTACAGATTAATTCTCATTTATTGGCTAGTGGTAAGCTAAAAAATGAACATCCCCGGCCATCCAAACATAGCAGAAAGGGGGTGAAAAATTTCCTACAAGCACTACATAAATTAGTGTGGAGTACCAATGAAGAGTAGATATCACGTGCCTAGTTCCAGTGCTTCTTTATGTTGCCTTTGTTTCCTCATCATCTATGATACAGGGATAATAAAAGTTTTTGCCACACAGAGTTGCTGTGAAGATTAAATGAAGTCGTGTATAAAAGCCTTGTAACTGCCTGACACACTGAACAAGGGCTACCTACCTAAGTGTAGGTAGGACTCGTATTATCAGATTGTCGGCATTTGGCATTTTTAATATTTCTTTCCTAATTCTTGCTCTCTCCAAGGTTGCTTCACAGCCAGAACTTTTGTTTTCAAACTCTGAATTCATTATAGGTACATAAACTTACATTGAAGAGCGACTATACTGGTTCATATAGCCAATATTTAAGAGTCCCAAAAGTGGACGATGATTTAAATGAAAGAAACCTCATTTATTGGAATGACTGGATTCGTCGGACCGATGTGCAGAGCATTGCTCCACTGAAGATAAGGTGATTCCTAAGATGTCCCCAATGATTTCAGAACTCCTTACCCTAAGCACACAGACATACACTCATACTCTATTCCATGCCATACAACACACAACAGAAAACACACATGCACACATACATACACACCTCATACACCAGGCAACACGCACACACATACATACACCACCACTACCACATACACACACTGCCAAAAACTTTTGTAGCAATAAGAAGGGAAAAGGCTGAAACTGGAACACATAGGCTGTGGCAAAATTTTAACAACATCTCTACTGATTTAGATTTATACTTCTTCAGCCAATATTAAACACTCTTCAAGACACATTCTTTCATTTGATACTGACTTCAATCTGTGTCTTCCCTCTTCAGAATTCCAGAACTCTTTGACCCTATAATAAGGCCTTCTGACCTCCAGCCTCCTGGACAGAGACTTTTGACCATCCATAAAAAAACTTGTGAATGACTTGATGGTTATGAATGCTATCTTAAATGCTTTACAAACATTATTGAATTTAATCTTCACAATTAACCTTTTGAGGACTATTTAGTGAATGAAGTGAGTTTTGAACTCAGGCTGACTTAGATTGTACAAGCCCACATTTCTACTCCTGCCTCAGCCTCCCAAGTAGCTTTGACTACAGGCATGTGTATCACCATGGCCCAGCTAATTTTTGTATTTTTGCAGACATGAGGTTTCGACATGTTGCCCAGGATGGTCTTGAACTCCTGGGCTCAAGCACCCTCCAGCCTCAGCCTCCCAAAGTGCTGGGGTTATGGGCATGAACCACCATGCCTGGCTTAAAACAACAGATCTCTTAAACATGACTTGAGTTATTCCAAATTAACCCACTAAATAGTGGGAATAGAATTTCATGCTTTGGGACAGAAAACAACTTGATACTTTGTACCCAAACACATAACTCATTTAAATCCTATAATATCCGTTTCTTCCAAGCAGAATGAAATTCTATCAGTTGTAGCTCATATCTTCTTTTATTACATGAGATGAATAAAATAGATTTGTACATTTTTAGGGATTTAAAGTCTAGCAATAGAATTATAGTCTTTATACCTTTTGACAATGACCCTGATACTGCATAAATGTCACCAGTGAATGAAAACTAATTATAGTTCTTCCAGGCTAAAAAGCAGCAGCTGAATACCACTAATTATGCAATGAAGCTAACAATACAACTAAAAACACTGGCAATAAATGTATTCACAGGGAAGACAAATAAAGAATAAATGCAGCAAATCAACCATTGTAGAAAAAAATGGCAAATGCTGAAATATTTCCACATTACACAAAAATTTTAAATAATCATTTAAAGTATTCATTTTGTTATTATACAATGATTACTTCTATCTCAGCACAAAAGTAATTTTCATAGCTGACACATACCCCCAAATGCCCAAATGCCTCTTTAACACACATTGATAATTGCGAGTTTAGAATTAATGGAGATACGCCTAGGCTCAGATGGCAAACAGCTAGAGTTGACATCCAGTTATGCCAATAATCATAGACCAGTTTCTAAGATCACAGTTATCTAAATGATTGAGAAGGAAAAAAATGAGATTTTGTTTGGATTTGGGAGAAATAATTGCAATTCAACTTTGTTAACCTGGCCAAGTTATTCTTCCACACAGACTTCTATTCTAGTCAAATTAGATGCTACATAAAATCCTAAGGATTCAATTGGGACCATATGCCAATTTTATCCTTAATATGGTCTGATTCAGGAGGGACTAAGTGGAGAAAAAGAAATATTGTTAATTTGAATATAAACCTATCATAGCTGGGTATCTATTTGAAGAGTGCCATAGGGATCATTGCCGTTGTCAGGGAGCATTTGCCCCAGAGTGAGTGTGGGATGAGAAATGTGAATCTGCTCTTACCCCAACCTGGGCTCAGTTTTCCTGTGTCTCTTGAGCATCTCACTTGTTATGGACTGTTTAAGGGACTTTCAAGGGTAATTTGGTAAATTTAACTTCGTGTGATTTTTGCCTTACATGCCCTTTTTAGAATCTAATTGTAAGGAGATTATTAAAACTGAAGGTGAGTTTCTCTATAATAATGTATATTTTATGTAAAGAGGCTGAGGATTTTAATACAGTCTTAATAGTTTGAGCTTGGGGTAAGTACTAAGCTCTGTAGAAAGAAATTTGCATATGTTTGTAATATTTTAGTGGAGGAATAGATAGAAATGCTGAAACTAATATCAGCATAAGAGACAGCAAACTAAGTGCTAGGCCTAACTCTGAAATTAATTATATGTGACCCTGAAAAGTCACTTATAGTTTATTTACCTTACAAAATAAGGAAGTGGGAAAGAAAGAAACAAAAGAAAAAGTGAGGTTGGAAGAACCCAGCACCTTATTTATGTCACTAGGAGTAAACAGGTTCTTCTTATTCCAAAACCTGAATAATAAAGAGCTACCTCCAAACACAGTGCGGGGTCATGGCAGACCCTTAATGGACAAGCATAAAACAGTCATGACTCCATAGACTGGGAAGATCAAAATCTCTTGGACTTTATGCAGAGGGAAGTGGGGCTTAGAAAGAGCATAAAATTATGAAAACAATTAGCTACAAAAATGAGTGTGTGTTTTGAATAAGTAAAGCTATTAAAATAAGTTACAAAGTTTAAAAGTTCTTGAAGGACAAACTAAAGATCAACTTTGAAAATAAAATAAGACCATTACTTTGCTTGCAAGGCAAAGGAGAGCCTAATAAAGCAAGAAACAAATTCCGAGGGACTCTCAGAGCTGAACAGCAAAAGAAATATCTTCTATATTGGGGGGAATTCCTAGACAACAAGTTCTGATTGGTTAAGGACAGCATGGCAAAGTCCTTAGAACTGATCATTGTACCCTCCATTACAAGACACCTAGTACAGTTTCAAAGATGCCAGGCATCTGTGTTAGGCACAGGGTCACATGGGAGGAACTTCCACATACTTACACTTAGGAGTTGGTAAAACTTTCCTATAACAATACAAATAGCCTTGGTTGTCTTTCATATGACAATTATTTTGTAACATAAATTCTAAAATCAATATTTTCTCAATTTTATTTTATAATTAAAATCAATGATATGGATCAGTTGCACAATAATATGAATAGACTTAACACTACTGGACTGTACACTTAAAAATAGTTAAGATCATCAATTTTATGTTATGTATTTTTAGCACAATTAAATTTTAAAAAAATTTTTAATAAGCAACAATAATTTAGAAAAGTTTCTTTCAGCTTCACTATTCATTATTGGTAATGTACCTTTTTAGGATTGTTGCGAAATTGGGCCAAACTGCTATATAAGTGAAGCTCTTTTGAGTTTGGCTGTGCAATAAAACACATAATAATAATAATAATAATAATAATAATAATAATAATCTTAAACACTCCAGATTGTTGACTCTTTTTAACTAGTTTGATGTTGATGGTCTCACTGTAGCTGTGCATAAGTTTGATTTTATTTCCATCTATGTCAATATTTATGTCAAAATGCCAAGAAATCTAAATCTTTTTCAATGTTTTCATATGCTTCATTCCTCTTCATTAACTGGATTATCAAAAATCTAAAACCCTATTTATTATCTCTACCCAAAATGTATCTCTTCCCATAAATCAATTACTGCTTTGGATATGATTAAATATCATACTTTATTATTTTTTGTTGTTGTTGTTGAGATAGAGTCTTACTCTGTAGCCCATGCTGGAATGCAGTGGCTTGATCTTGGCTCACTGCAGCCTCCGTCTCCCAGGCTCACAGGCTCAAGTGATTCTCATGTCTCAGCCTCCCGGGCATGCACCACCATGCCTGGCTAATTTTTTTTTTTTTTTTGTATTTTAGTAGAGACAGGGTTTTACCATGTTGCCAGGGTGGTCTCAAACTGCTGAGCTCAGGCAATCTGCCCACCTTGGCCTCCCAAAATGCTGGGATTACAGACCTGAGCCACAGCACCCATCCAATTTTTTTTTAATATTCCACCTTTTTCTGAATATACTCTTAGTTCCCTAAAATTTAAATCTAATGATGATGAAAGAAGAGTTTATTGAATCATTACAGAACATTTTTCCAAAATGCATTTCAAATGGAGTATTTGATCTTTATAAATAATTTTGAACAAAGTTTTTTTTTTTTAATCTACGTAGTGTTTTGTTTTCTCTTTCAAGTGTCCTTATGTCATTAAAAACAAGTTGCAAGGCATGAACCACTTTAAAGTTCAAATCATCCCATTACCCACGGCCTCCAAAGACAATCTAAGTTTTCCCTATCCAAGCAAAGAATGAGAAATGCAAAAAAGGACAAAACTGTCCACTGAAGTAGTCCACAGCCTCTAAAACTGTGGAGGTGGCAGTGCAGGGGGAAGAGAGGGAAGCCACCAGATGATGGGGAGTGAATGGCTCTGGCCTCAGATGCCAGCACCTCCCACTGAGCAGAGTTAGCACCAAGATTTGGGAGACAGGAACAGGGTCTTTCTCCCTGATCTTTGCTGCATATAGCACCCTGGGAAAATGACTTTCAAGCAGATACGGCCTTTCAAAGGGAGGTTCCTGAGAAAGGAAGAGACAATTAGCTATAGTTTTTTTAGTACTAAAAGAATTCACCTTAAAAGCTCCCAGTTTCCTGCCTTTTGAGGGTAAGAGTCATCCTGGGATCAGAGCAGTCTCCAAGGCCTCACCAGACCCTTCTCAGCAGATTTCCTTGCTCACTATAATTGAACAATTTATGGAAGTATCTACAAACCAAGTAACTATATCCTGCTAAACCCAAACAAATTGTATCCCAACTCAACTCCCCCTTAGCTGAATGCAAAAATGCCCGTAGCCATTTAAACACCACCCAAGAGGAAGAGAATTTTCAGAGGAGTCAGAGTGAGATGTCAAAAGTTCTTAACCAAATGCAGGCTAATTGGCTTACTTTTGCAAAATAGTTTTAAATGTATGACCATATGAACCCATTCCTAGGGCCCCTTCTGGAGCCCTGAATGGGACCAAGACAAGTGAGTGACCCTGAAACTCAACCTTTGTATTCACAGTAGGACCTCCTGCTTCAGACTCTAAGCTTCCGGAGAACAGGAACTGCATCTTTTCTATTTCACATACCCAACTCCTCACACAATGCATGATGCAAGTGGGAATCTACATAAAATATCTGATGGATAAATGGAGTAGCACTGATGCATATGAGACCCAGTGTTAACCAGAGGAAGCAATCAACTCCAAGATCAACTGCCAAGATAAAAACCAGGACCAAGGAAAGCTTCTGAGATAAAATGATTTTTAAGATTAACGTAGTGGATATTTCCAATTGTTTTTTTTATACCCTTCATCTGACCTCTCCTTCCTAAATGTGAGAGTTAGCCATCAGTTGAGTATTGTGAGAGGTTGTACCCTGCCACTAATTACAGAAACAAAAAAGGCCAGCTACCTGCTTTCCCGGACTCTAGGAGGTAAAGTTAAAAGAACATGAACTAACCTCTGTCAATAAGATACAACCACCAGGGAATTGCATCTGGAGTTAATGATCGAATCCATTCTAGGAATGGCAAGAGCATCTAGCGTCCAATGGCAGAGGGCCAGCCATGGTGTGCTGTCTTGGAGGCATGACGTGGTGGTGGTACCAGGGCCAGAATTTATTCTCTAGAAGCATCTCTCAAGATGAATGGCTGTACAGAAACATGTTTAACCTCTCTTCATTGTCTCCATGACAACATACTCGACTGTTTCTTCCTTGTCTCCTTTGAGCGCATACCAGTGTGTTGTCCTCCTCTCTCTCTGACCATTTATCTGTCACTCCTGAAGGCTCTTTCTGATCTCCCTGGCCTTTAAGTGTTAGATCTTCAAGGTTCATCATTAGGCTCTCTTCTTTCCTCATTCTATAATCATCCACTGTCAATCTCTTCCACCCCTCTCTGCTTTAGTTCCAGCCATCATCATCTCTAGGCAAGACTATCCCAGGAATATCCTTCCTGTCACCCCACATTACCAACTTCCACCCAACCTCTAAAATCCAGTGGCTACATTGAAACCAGAATAACCTTGCCTAATGGCAATCAGATCATCCTCTGTGTAAACCCCTCATTGGATTCCCAGTACCTTGGGATAAATACCAAAATTCTTACCACTTGTGATGGTTAATATTGAGTGTCAAGTAGATTGGATTGAAGGATGCAAAGTATTGTTCCTGGTTGTGTCTGTGAGGATGTTACCAAAGGAGATTAACATTTGAGTCAGTGGAAGACAAAGAGGCAGACTCACCCTCAATCTGGGTGGGCACCATCTAATCAGCTGCCAGCGCAGCTAGGATAAAAGCAGGCAGATGAACGTGGAAGGACCATGACTGGCTGAGTCTTCCAGCCTGCATCTTTCTCTCATGCTGGATGCTTCCTGCCCTTGAACATCAGACTCCAAATTCTTCAGCTTTTTGGACTCTTGGACCTAGAACAGTAGTTTGCCAAGGGCTCTTGGGCCTTCAGCCACAGACTGAAGACTGCACTGTTGACTTCCCTACTTTTGAGGTTCTGGGACTTGGACTGGCTTTCTTGCTTCTCAGCTTGCAGACGACCTATTGTGGGACTTCACCTTGTGATTGTGTGAGTCAACAATAACTCCTTAATAAACTCCCTTTCATACATACATCTATTCTATTACTCTGTACCTCTAGAAAACCCTGACTAATAGACCATGGTGTATAAAATTCTACATAGTCTTGCTTCTGCCTAATTCTCCAAACTCATAATATGATGTTTGTATATTTGATGAACCAACCTAGCTCCTCTACCCTGACCCTCCTTTCATCCAGCTATATCTTTTCATAATTCAAATCTCAGTTCAAGTATAACATCCTTCAGGAAGTTAATATTTCCCAACTGTCCCACTCTCCCCATGCTCGAAACCTGGAAGCTGTCATTGACTCTTCATTTCCTCAATTCTTTATTTCATCATCTGGTCTCATCATTCTTCCTTGATAATTTTCACCTGCATCTTCACTTTATATTCATACTGTCAACATGCTAGTGCAAACATCATGCTTTCAGAAATAAATTTTTATAATTGCTTTCTGCATGCTTGAGGCTGTCCATCTCACTGGGCATCCCACATACTCCTGCAAAATTTAGAATAGATCCAAAAAATAAAGTAAAATATTCATAATATTATAAGCTTATAGTGATAAGTATAAGGGAACTCATCAGAGTTCTTGAGTATACTAAAAGTCAGCTTCTCAACCCAATCATCTTAGTTCATCAGTCTGCAATCAATGTAGCTAAATAACTTCATTGCCCAAATGTTTCCAATATAAATGACAACTTTTTCTAGAAAAGTGTAATTATTTTCTAATTAGCATAACCTGTGACTCTCATCTCTTCTCCTTTTTTCAAATTGCTCTCACTTTTTAGAATGTCCTCATCTTCTTTTGACTGTAAAAATGCAATCCATCTACATGTGGAGCCTCACTCAGCCCAATTTGTTCATAACTTTCAAACGAGAGAAAAATTGTAAATGAAAGTGATGCCATTTCTTACTATCTACCACCAAGGGGCAGGATGGCAGAGGTTAAGATCAAGAAATATTCAATGCATTGGAAAACATTATAAAATCTGCTCTATTTCTACTACTTTTCATAATACTCTCTCCTTTACTCCTAATTTTTAACACAAAACATTTTCTAAATGTAGCCCATAACTCTCAACTAATCCCCCCATCCTCTCTACTTAAAATATGTCTGCCTTTCCCCTGATAGAGATACGTAATAGGTCATTCTTTTTATTTTATGATTCTGCTTAACTGGATCAATATACTCTTTGTCTACACCTCCAACACACAAGCCATAAATAAATGCACAGCAAAGTCATCCTTAGGAACAAAGACTTCAGTAAGATCACAAGTTTCAGAGTTTTATCCTCAGCATCTCTGTCCTATTCAAATAATCTTGTATGTCCACAGTTATCACTCTCTGGTTTAATTGATGCATCCGTGAAACTTACTGAGATAGAGTAAGATTTCTTCCATACTCAAATGGGATGAAAACAAATGCCTGTTCTTATGCTATCTAAAAGCAAAGATTCCAGCTTTTAAAGAAGTACTCATGAGACCAGGGTGTGGTACAGGAAAGCATTTAATTTGCTGAGGGAATGAGGAGATGAACAATATAGTAGTTATACCACTTACATAGTCTTTTTTTCCCTCCAGCATTTCATTATTAAATTTTCAAACCTACGGAGAAGTTGAAAGAATTGTATAGTATTCACCTACATACTTACTGCCTAGAATGTATTTTGGTTTTGTATTTTTAGAGTTGTTTTTATCATTTTCTATCCATTAATCTGGCTTAATTGGGGATGCATCTAAAAGTAGGTTGTATTAGAGATACCAATGCCCATCACCCTAAAACCCTTCAATACAACTTTTATTTTGGTTTTTGTGACATTAACAATTTATTATCTGTGAAATACACAAATCAGAAGTGTACCACTTGAGAAGTTGTGAGAATGCATGCAACCCAGCAACTAAACCACTGTCCATCACCCCAGCAAGCTTCCTCTTGCTGCTTCTCAATTTCTACTCTCCATATACAGGGACAACTGCTGTTTTGACTGTCTCACATTGGCTTTGGCTAACTAACTTTACGTAAATGGAATTACACTGTATTCATTTTTGCATAAGGCTTCTTTCACTCAGCATAATGTTGCTTTATGCATCACAAGAGCATTCAGTTACATTGCTGAGTAGTACTCCGCTGTATCATTGTATTTGTATAACACTTTTGTTTATCCAGTCTCCTTTCCAGGGCTAGTTTAGGGCTATTAGGGATAGCCCAAAACTATTCTTTTCACACTCTAATATAAGTCTTTTTGTGGATATTTGCTTTGGTTTTTTTCTGGGTAAATTTCCAGGAATAAAATTGCTGGGTCATAAGTAAATACAAGTTTAATTAAAAAAACAAAAAGAGTTGCCAGAAATTTTTCCAAAGTGAGAGTAACATTTTCCACTGGCACCAGCAATACATGAGTAGATCCAAATCCTTGGTAACGTGGCATTGTCATAGTCTTTTAAGATTTTAACTAAATCAAAAATAGCTTCCTTTAAATATGGCAAATCATACCACGTTTTCCTAGATATCTTCATGAGCTAAATAATTAGGTTGAAGTGGTCTGGTATTAAAGATAAAACCGCAGTAACTACATGCAGTAATTTTATGAAGTATCAAAATGATTGTTACTAGTTCATTTAAGTATGGACTGCTAAAAATTTCTGAGAGTTTAATTCCTGTTCCTCTCTCAACAGCAGCTCTTGAAAGACTGGTATTTTATTCTTTCTTATATCTCTACTATGTTTGTTGAATTGATTTCAGCAGTTACATAAAAATTATATCCAGATTAATTATAGATGCAAAGTTCCAAGAGAACAAAAACCATGCCTGTTTATCCACCATTGTATTCCCAGTGTCTAGCACAGTGTCAGGTTTAGTGGTGAGGACTCCAGCTGTGAGAGTCCAGCAAGCTCTCAATATGTACTTTTTATGAATAAATGATTTATTTGGCAGATAATCTAACATTTCTCCTCTAGTTCTTTATCTAGAATAATGGTGACTGTTTCTCAGGGTTCTTTTGAAGTTTGAGATAATATATGTAAAAGTATCTCACACAATATGAGATACATAGTACACACTCACCAAGTATCTTTATGAACTACTACTTTTTATAACTGTAAGTATTATGAAATGTAGCTTGCTTTTCCCTTTTCTTTTCTGTAACTTATGAAATATCCAGTCTCACAGCTGGAGTCCTCACCACTAAACCTGATGTCGCTCATAAGTTCTGGTTCTATAGTCCCAAAGGACTGCTGCACATCTATATTTACATAAAACTCCCCATGTTTCCAAATTCGACATGTCTAAAACCAAATGCTCCCACTTCATTCCTAACGGAACCTATAATGGAACCACCGCATATCCAAGCAGTTACCAAACTTTTCTGACTTCTTTTTCTTCCTATGGACCTTTGTAAAATTCAGTGAACTCTCCCTACATGACACATTTATATTTTACTTCCCATTCCTCCTTTATTTTCAGTGCCAGTACCCTAATCCATGTCACTACTTACCTATGAATTGTACTTCTTGAAATGGCATCCCAACGAAGTTCCTTGTCTCCAGTCTCTCCCTGCTTTTAATCCATACACTTTGCCATGGTTAATCTCCCTAAAGTACTGCTATACTCATTTTACTCAGCCCTTTTGAGGAAGCTGAGGATCAGTCGTATATGTGGTAAGTAAGAGAGACCATCATTCATGTTTGTTTCTCATGGTACCATGCCATGTATATAATAGGTTTCTAGTTAACAAAAGATAGTCAGTGAATGATTCAAATTGTTCAGAAGCAAACAACAACAAAAAAAACAAAAAACAAAAAAAAAGAAAGAAAAATACTGAAATCTGACCAAAACGAAATTAAGTAGCTATCCCAATAAGTCACTTATAGTTAATGTTTTAAGTTACATTTCTTCATGATGTGGAAAAAGAAGGCAATTACAACATATACTTAAAAGTAATTATAAATTTGGGAGTGGTCATGAGAAACAAGGAAGGAAATAAGAAAATAATGTTCTGCTTCAGACAAAGCAAACGATATATCTTAGGTAAAATAATCCAAAACACCTAGAAGGCAGTAATGACAAAAAAGACCTGGAGAAAAGAAAGGATAACAGATGATATATGGGCTTGCACTACAATACAGAAACAGAAGGATGAAAGAAGAAAAAAACTAATGTAATTTTGCTGTAAGCTCAGAGGATTCCTGAGACTGAGCAGAATTTCACCTACAAAGCTCTGGTCAGTGCTGGATATCATGGTGTGTAATAATTGGAAAACACTGGAGGCATTTCCAAGGAAAGCAATAAAAGTAAGCCCAAGAATAGTTGGATATGGGCTGAATCTACACATTGCTTCTGTGCGCAAGTGGACTGTAAAATTCAGTCTCAACCATTTATTTCCATTAACACAGCAGCAAAGAACAGATCAACTTGAAGAATCAAACAGTTTTGCAAACATCTACATTTGTGCGTGCAAACTTATTACCTCTCCAAAAAGTCACTATGTAGTCTTTTTTCAGAATTTAAAACCTAGAGGAGATGGGCCACTTTCCAGGTTTCTCTAGATATAAGACAGGTAAACTCAGATAGATTTTTGTTTCTAATGAACGTTTTTCCTGCTACAAGAAGTGGGCCAACCAGACAAAATTAACATTAACAAGGAGGGAATGAGTGCATTGCTAAAAAAGAGGCACAGTACCTAATGGTTTAAAAGAAGCAGTTTTCTAGTTACATGCTTGGGTTCAATCCTAGCTCCACTAGATATTAAGCTATATTAACCCTGGGCAAATTACTCAACCTCACTGGACCTCAGTTCACTCAAATGAGAATGATGTGAGCACTTACCATCAAGGGAGGTAATAAGGATTAAATAAACTAATACAGCTGCTGCATTTAGAACAGTATCCAACATACAATTAGCGTTTACCAAGTGTTAGTTACTACATATTTTCAAACAGTAAGCTTAAAATCAAATGACAAAGAGCAGTGACAACTGGGGGAACCATTCAAAATTTATAGTCAGAAATTCTGGGTTCAAGTCAGAGCTGTAAGATTTACTTCTGTAAATCTTAGTGATGCCTTACTCTTGTTCTTTGTGCCTCAGTTTCCTTGGATGTGACAATATTTCTTTTCTTATATCAAATGATTGTTATGATGATCAAATTATATAAAATAAGGATTTATATAAAAGACTATACAGGTTATTATATTATGATGATGATCATCACCTCACAGTACACGGTGCTTAATAGCTTTTCAGTAAATGTTGAAGTTAGATGAATCTCATGACAAACCAATTGTTTTCAGGTAATTATTTGAGAAACTTTTTTGAGGTAATTATTAAAAAATAGAAAAGAGAAGACTTCAAATGGCTAACATAAAGCAATGCTAACGGGGGTTTAGTTTATTGATTGACTTGTTTTAACTGCCCAGATTATCTCTAGTTTCAATTTTTGCATATATCAAGTGCTTGTATATAAAATACACAAAGTTAAGGTATTTTATCTATTTCTTATCTCATTAAGAAAAGCAAAACAGGAGAGGGGCCAAGATGGCTGAATAGAAACAGCCCTGATCTGCAGCTCCCAGGGAGACCAACGCAGAAGGTGGGTGTTTTCTGCATTTCCAACTGAGGTACCCAGTTCATCTCATTGGGACTGGTTAGGCAGTGGGTGCAACCCATGGACAGCAAGCAGCAGCAGGGTGGGGCATCACTACATCTGGGAAGTGCATGGAGCCAGGAGACCTCCCTCCTCCACCCAAGGGAAGTGGTGAGGGACTATGCTACCTGCCCGGGGCACTACGCTTTTTGCATGGATTTTTACAACCCGTGGCTCAGGAGATTCTCTTGTGAGTGTAAGCCACAAGGGCCCTGAGTTTCAAGCACAAAACTGGGCAGCTGTTTGGGCAGGCACTGAGCTGCAGAAGGTTTTCATACTCCAGTGGCACCTGGAACTCCAGTGAGACAGGAGACCTATCTACTCCCCTGGAAAGGGGGCTGAAGCCAGGGAGCCAAGCAGTCTCACTCAGCAGGTCCCACTTCCACGGAGCCCAGCAAGCTAAGAACCACTGGCTTGAAATTCTCACTGTCAGCACAGCAGTCTGGAGTCAGCCTGGGACAATGAGTTTGGTGGGGGCAGGGGCAACCACCATTACTGTGACCTTAGTAGGTGGTTTTCTCCTGACAATGCTAAGGAGACTGGGAAGTTTGGACTGGACAGAATTGCTCCTCTAGATTCCTCTTCGATGGGCAGGGAATCTCTGCAGGAAATCCAACAGCTCCAGTCAGGGGCTTACAGACAAAACTCTCATCTCCCTGGGATAGAGCACCTGTGGGGAAAGGTGGCTGCGGTCACATCTTCATGGATTTAATTGTTCCTGCCTGCTGGCTCTGAAGAGAGTGGCTTATTCTGACAAGGGGGTTTCTCCCAGCATAGCACACCAGCTCTGCTAAGGGACAGGCTGCCTCCTCACGTGGGTCCCTGACCCCATGCCTCCTGACTGGGAGAGACCTCCCAACAGGGGCCAACGGACACCTTAGAGAGGAGAGCTGTGGCTGGCATCAGGCTGGTGCTTCTGTAGGATGAAGCTTCCAAAGGAGCAGGCAGCAATCTTTGCTGTTCTATCTACAGTCTTCACTGGTGATACCCATGCAAACGGTGTTTGGACTGGATCTCCAGCAAACTGCAACAGAACTGCAGAAGAGGGGCCTGACTGTTAGAAGAAAAACTAACAAACAGAAAGCAAATGTCATCCTATCCAAAGGTCATCAACCTCAAAATCAAAGGTAGATAAATCCATGAAGATGAGGAAAAACCAGCATAAAAACACTGAAAATTCCAAAATCCAGAATGCCTCTTCTCTTCCAAATGATCGCAATGCCTCTCCAGTGAGGGTGCAAAACTGGAAGGAGCATGAGATGGACAAATTGACAGAAGTGGGCTTCAGAAGATTGGTAAAGACAAATTCCACTGAGCTAAAGGAGCATGTTCTAAACCAATGCAAAGAAGCTAGGAACCTTGATAAAAGGTTACAGGAGCTGATAACAAGAATAACCAATTTAGAGAGGAACATAAATGACCGGATGGAGCTGAAAAACACAGCACCAGAACTTCGTGAAGCATAAACAAATATCGATACCTGAATTGACCAAGGAGAAAAAAGGATATCAGAGTTTGAAGCCCACCTTGCTGAAATAAGGCCTGCAGACAAGAGTAGAAAAAAAAGAATGAAAAGGAATAAACAAAGCCTCTAAGAAATGTAAAACTATGTAAAAAGACCGAACCTATGACGGATTGAGTAGCTGAAAGTGACCAGGAGAATGAAACCAAGTTGGAAAACACACTTCAGTATATTATCCAGGAGAACTTCCCAACCTAGCAAGAGAGGCCAACATGCAAATTCAGGAAATATAGGGAACACCACTAAGATACCCCACAAGAAGATCAACCCCAAGACAGATAATCATCAGATTCTCCAAGGTCGAAATGAAGGAAAACAAGTTAAGGGCAGCCAGAAAGTTTGGATCACCTACAAAGGGAAGCCCATCAGACTAACAGCATATCTTTCAGCAGAAACCCTACAAGCCAGAAGACGGTGGGGGCAATATTCAACATTCTTAAAGAAAAGAACTTTCAACCCAGAATTTTATATCCAGCCAAACTAAGCTTCATAAGCGAAGGAGAAATAAAATTCTTTCTGGACAAGAAATGCCAAGGGATTTCATCACCACCAGGCCCACCCTGCAAGAGCTCCTGGAGGAAGCACTAAATACAGAAAAGAAAAGCCAGTACCAGCCACTGCAAAAACATACCAAAATATAAAGACCAATGACACTGTGAAGAAACTGCATCAACTGGTATGCAAAATAGCCACTAGCATCATGATGACAGGATCAAATTCACACATAACAATAAAACCTCAAATGTAAATAGGCTAAATGCCCCAATTAAAAGACACAGACTGGCAAATTGTATAAAGAGTCAAGACACATCAATGTGCTGTATTCAGGAAACCCATCTCATGTGCAAAGACACACACATAGGCTCAAAATAAAGGAATGGAGGAAAATTTACCAAGCAAATGGAAAACAAACAAACAAAAAAAAGCAGGGGTCGCAATCCTAGTCTCTGATAAAACAGACTTTACGCCAACAAAGAGCAAAAAAGACGAAGAAGGGCATTAGATAATGGTAAAGAGATCAACACAACAAGAAGAGCTAAATATCTTAAATATACATGCACCCAATACAGGAGCATCCAGATTCATAAAACAAGTTCTTAGAGACCTATAAGGAGACTTAGACTCCCACACAATAATAGTGGGAAACTTTAACACTCCACTGCCAATATTAGACAGATCAACAAAACAGAAAATTAACAAGAATATTTAGGACTTGAAATCAACTCTGGATCAAGTGGACTTAATAGACATCTACAGAACTCTGCACCCCAAATCAACAGAATATACATTCTTCGCAGTGCCACATGGCACTTACTCTAAAATCAACCACGATTGGAATTAAAACATTCTTCAGTAAGTGCAAAAGAACAAAAATCATAACAAACAGTCTCTCAGACCACCGTGCAATCAAATTAGAACTCAGGATTCAGAAACTCACTCAAAACCACACAACTACATGGAAATTGAACAACCTGCCCCTGAATGACTCCTGGATAAATAATGAAATTAATGCAGAAATCAAGAAGTTCTTTGAAACCAGTAAGAACAAAGAGACAATGTATCAGAATCTCAGGGACACAGCTAAAGCAGTGTTAAGAGTGAAATTTATATACTAAATGCTCACATATGAAAGCTGGAAAGATCTCAGATTGACACCCTAACATCACAATTAGAAGAACTGGAGAAGCAAGAGCAAAAAAAATCCAAAAGCCAGAAGAAGACAAGAAAAAACTAAGATCATAGCAGAACTGAGGAAGATAGAGAGACACAAAATCCTTCAAAAAATCAATGAATCCAGGAGCTGGTTTTTTGAAAAAATTAATAAAATAGATAGACTGCTAGCTAGACTAATAAACAAGAAAAGGGAGAAGAATCAAATAGGCACAATAAAAAATGATAAAGGAGATATGACCACTGACCCCACAAAAATACAAACTATTCCTATCAAGCTACCGTAGACTTTCTTCACAGAATTAGAAAAAACTACTTTAAATTTCATATGGAATCAAAAAGAGCCCATATAGCCAAGACAATTCTTAGCAAAAACAACAAAGCTGGAGGCATCATGCTACCTGATTTCAAACTATACTGCAAGGCTATGGTAATCAAAACAGCATGGTACTGGTACCAAAACAGACATATAGACCAATGGAACAGAAAAGAGACTTCAGAAATAACACCACACATCTACAACCATCTGATCTTCAACAAACCTGACAAAAAAAAAAGCAATAAAGAAAGGATTCCCTATTTAATAAATGGTGCTGGGAAAACTGGCTAGCCCTATGCAGAAAACTGAAACTTGAACCCTTCCTTACACCTTATGCAAAAATTAACTCAAGATATATTAAATGCATAAATGTAAAACCCAAAACCATAAAACCCTAGAAGAAAACCTAGGCAATACCAGTTAGGACACAGGCATGGGCAAAGGCTTCATGATGAAAACACCAAAAGGAATTGCAACAAAAACCACAATTGACAAATGGGATCTAATTAAACTAAAGAGCTTCTGCATAACATAAGAAACTATTATCAGAGTGAACAGATGGCCTATAGAATGGGGGAAAATTTTTGCAATCTATCCATCTGACAAAGGTCTAATATCCAGAATCTATAAGGAACTTAAACAAATTTACAAGAAAAAAACATACAACCCCATCAAAAAGTGGGCAAAGTATATGAACAGACACTTCTCAAAAGAAGACATTTATGTGGCCAACAAACATATGAAAAAAAGCTCATCATCACTGGTCATTAGAGAAAGGCAAATCCAAACCACAGTGAGATATCATCTCACACCAGTCAGAATGGTGATCATTAAAAAGTCAAGAAACAGTTGAGGCTGGTGAGGCTGTGGAGAAACAGGAACATTTTTACACCATTGGTGGGAATGTAAATTAGTTCAACCACTGTGAAAGACATTGTGGTGATTCCTTAAGGATCTAGAACCAGAAATACCATTTGACCCAGCAATCTCATTACTGGGTATATACCCAAAGGAATATAAATCATTCTACTATAAAGACACATGTACATATATGTTTATTGCAGCACTGTTTACAATAGCAAAGACATGGAATCAACCCAAATGTCCATCAATGATAGACTGGATAAAGAAAATGTGGTACATGCCCACCATGGAATACTATGCAGCCATAAAAAAGAATAAGTTCATGTCCTTTGCAGGGACATGGATGAAGCTGGAAACCCTCATTCTCAGCAAATTAACATAGCAACAGAAAACCAAACACCGCATGTTCTCACTCATAAGTGGGAGTTGAATATTGAGAACACACGGACACAAAGAGGGCAACAACACACACCAGGGCCTGTCAGGGGCTGGGGGGCAAGGGGAGGGAGAGCACTAGGACAAATACCTAATGCATGCAGGGCTTAAAACCTAGATGATGGGTTAATAGGTGTAGCAAACCACCATGGTACGTATATACCTATATAACAAAAAATTTTAAAAAAGCAAAATAATATGTCATTACTAAACTTAAATAATATTCCATATATTATATGTCAAGCTATAGATCATACATTTCATCTATTTCAGAGGTGAGGGATCAATGGATAACATCAAAAATGTATTAAAGTCAACAGATTCAACTTATTTCTCCACAGGCCTCTTCTGGAACTGATTGCAAGGAGTGAAATGGACTAATTTTAGAATAAGCAACTCTACTATGGAACATCTGAAAAAAAAAGAGCACTTTTTAAATTACAGCAAAATATTTTTTGATATAAATTTGTGTCTGGCTTCCGCAGAAAACAGTAGACACATATAAGGTTTTGCTCCAAGAACAGACTGGACAAATGAAATGACATATATATCCACAAGGGACATGTTTTTAAGGCAGTTGTCAGAGGAGAAAGAGGAGAAGCATGTGGAAGGAGGGCTTCCTGATGACTAAATTATATGTATGTTTCTGTATGTCTCATTTCATGGGAACTACCTCTACTTTCAAATGATCATTTCTTCCCAACATTTCAATCTATATATCACTTCTCTTTGTAATGAAAAGCATGTTACTTTTCTAACTTTTAGCCTAAATACTAAGAAATAAAAATTTATTTAATGATCCATTAGACCCACTTATTTCTGTATAGTGGCACCAAAGAGATATTTTATAGAACACATAGTTCTGTTTCTTATGCCATTAAACACAGGAGGTTATTATTAAGAACAGTAATACTGAAAAAGTTTGTTGAGTGCATACTATATGCCAGACAAATGTGGTATAGCTTTTTACAATTACATGGCATTTTTATATTTATTAGTGCATTCGATCCTTATAACAATTTTACAAAGTAAAACAGACGTCATTATCCCGATTTTAAATTTGAAAAATCACCACAGGCAACACCATACTTAATAGTAAAACTGTAGCAGCATTCCCATTACAGTCAAGAATAAGAGAAAAATGTTGCTTTTGTCATCCTTATATAGCACTGTTCTGAAATTTCTAGCTAATGAAGTATAAACACTGCAAAGGAAAAGAGAAAAATTATTTTCTTTGCACGCAGCATTATGGCTCAATATATATAATTCAGCAAAATTACCTTAAAGACCTGAACAGAAAAAAGAAAAACACTGTAGCTGTTAGGTTTGCATATGGCTGCAAATGATAAGACAACTGTAATAAGCAGTGGCTTACACATGCAAAGATTATGCTCTCAGATAAACAGTGTGGAGGTAGATGACAAGGCCACAAAATCCTCAGGGAGCTAGCTTCTTCCAGGTTTCTACTCTGCCATTCCTAGGGAGCCTGGTCAGGTTGGCTCCTGGATCTCACCATCACTGCATTCCAGACAGCAAAGCTTAAGAATCACTGTCCAAAAGTGACATATGGCATTCTGTTCATATCCCATTGGCCAAAATTTAGTCACATGGCCACACTGAATGTCAAAAGAGGGTAAGAAATGTCTTTATACAAAATGGCCATGTGTACAGCTATAAAAAAAAAAATCCAGAGTTCTATTAAGGAAGAAGGGGAGAATGCATGCTAGACATCAACTAAAAGTCATGCTCCCAATACAGTTCAAAATATCCACAAAAAAAAGGAATTATGAGGGAATGAAGTTAATTAAAAAATGCACTAGAAACTATAAAACCTTGCAGAAAAATTTTAAATGTTTTAAATAAATGAAAATAAAGATTATGTTCCTGGATTGGAAGACTCAGTAATGTAAATATCTAAATTCTTCCCCAGAGATCAACCAACTAGTGGTGTGCAACTAGAATAAAATTCCGAAGAAATTATTTGGAATTTAACAAAATGATTCTGAAGTGCTAGAAAATAAGTAAATGACAGTAGGTGAGAAAACTTAGGGAAAAAAAAAAGGCTAGCTGTCGACTCACTCTATCACATTTTACAGCATACAATAAAGTTACAATCATTACAGAAGTATGAAATGGCACAAGAATAGACACCAATAACAATAAGCATAATATTAAATCTAGAGAGACAGGTAATTATTTACAAAAATTTAGCAAATGATAAAACACTGGTGGTACAGGTATATGATGATGAAGTAGCAATATGATTTTTCAAAACATAGTCAAACACTCAAACATCTAATTCTATGCCTAATTATTTGTTTCACCTACCAAAGGTAAAATGGTTCTCACCTCTTTCCTCCTAGTGGCTAAATTCCAGTGGCTAAGACCTCAGGCTCTGGACCTAGAAAAGGCTGAAGTTTAAATGCTGCCTCTATATGTTGGCTGCATAACACTGAGGAACATCCTTCCCTTTTCTAGATCTCCATGGATTAAAGAATTAAGATTGCCCAAAGAAAAGTGTACTCCTTGCCCAGCTCCTAGGAGTTAATCTCTGATATTTTTCTGCCTGTTAAGAGTATCTTTGCTTACCCAGAGGTCTTGGTCCATGTCTCAGGATTATTTATGGTGGGGAACTTGGGCTATGTGCTATCAGCTTGACCTCTGAGGGGGCTAGAACTAAGGTCACCCATGTGGGCAGTCAGCTATATCTATATGACCAACCTCCAATAAAAATGCTGGAAGCCAAGGCTCAAGTGAGCATCTCTGGTTGGCCATGCACCATGCATATTGCCACAGATCATTGCTAGGAAAAATAAACACTGTCCACATGACTCCACTGCAAGAGGAGAGCTGAAAGCTTAAACCTGGTGCCTTCTGGATCCTGCCCTATGTGTCCCTTTCCTTGGCCAATTTTAATCTCTATCTTTTTGCTGGAATTAACTATCAACATGAGGATAACAGCTTTTAAAAGGCTTGTGGGCTCTTCTAGCATATCATTCAACATGAAGGTGATCTTGGAGACCCCTGAGCTGCAGCCTGTCTTCATATCTATAACAGGGGTAATAATAACAATACAACATCATGGGTTTTTCTGAAGATAAATGAGACAATGTCTGTACCGCACTTGCACAAAGCCTGCCACACAATAATTACTCAGTAAATTACTTTAAGTCAGTAGGGGGGAAATGGATTATTCAATGAGTCATATTGAGATGGCCGTTTGACAATTTATGACAAAAAAAAAAGTTAAAGAATACCTCACATTTTATCTTCAAATGAATCTAGGGAAGTTTTAATATTTATTCATAAAAAACAAAGCCACAAAAGAATTTCGGGAAAATACATATGAATATATATCTGTAGTGAGTAAGGGGGTGCCTTGTCTAAGCATACAATTGGAGAGAACTCCCTGAAAGGAAATGATAAATGATCTTAAAATACACAAAAATTTAAGACATTTGTATGCCCCAAACCGCACTCGAACAAAGTTAAAACAGAAAAACAAAGGGTGACAATATTTGAAACACAGATAACAGAGTAAAAGGCTTGAGAGAAAACTGAAAAAGATTAGCATATTTATATCATGAATAGACTCAGAAAAATATTTTCTCTTACTAGTAATCAAAGAAATATGGTATTTTTAAAATGCAGTGTTTTTTCTCATTCAAGCAGAAAGTTTAATTATATTTTTAAATGATAATATGCAATGTTAGCAAGGGTGGGTGTCATAGACATTCTCGTATTGCTAATTGGAATATTAATTGGCATAATTCTTCTGGCTGGCATAATCCTTCTCCACTGTCATCAAACCTCTGACAACAATTCTTCCAAACTTCCCTTCCTCTAAGTTAAAATTAGTATCTGACTTTGCCTTCTATTTCACAGAGAAAATAGAAATTATAAGGCAGATTTTCTTGCCAACAAATCTACAACTCTGCCATACTTACACTGATTCTTTTTCTCTTCTGGCAATTAGAGTTCTGCCTTTCCTCCTGGCTAGAGCCAATCTTGCTTCCCTTGTTCCAGACCCTAATTCCCACTCCCCGTGTTCAAGAAATTTATACCACAATTTATACTTCCTCTCATTTAGAGATCTTCCTAGTATCTACCACTTTAATTTGCCTCTTACTTAATTGACTTCTTGTCAGTCTTATTTGTTAGTTTCTTATTCTTTATCTGACTTTGAATAGCCATGTACCGAGTATTCACTATTTCTAGTGATCTCATCTAGTCCCATGGATTTAATATCATCTCCATGCTAATGATTCCCCAAATTATGTCCCCATACATATCTCTTTCTTGAAACCAGTATTCACACATCCAGCTGCCTGCTTGATATCTCCACTTGGATATCCAACAGCAATCTCAAGGAAAATAAATCCCAAACAGATTTCCTAATTTACAACACCCCACATACATGTTCTTCTGGTTTCCTTGTCCTGGTCTTGGCAAAAATCTAGATGTTTTCTCAGATTCCTATTTCTCACATTCCCCCACCCACTCCACCATCTATCAACTCCTATCAGTTCTACTCCATAATGATATCTCTTTTCACCATCCTGCAGGATCAATACGAAACCAAAAGAGCTCTTGGATATCCTATGGAGTCATAAGAAAGAGCTTCCACAACTGTACTAAGGGGTGGAACTAAACATATGGCCCATAACATCTCTATCTGGAATGGTAGAGCAAAAATATTCTCTTTTTTATGGGTATTTCTATATAAATGTGTATCATTACAAAGATATAGAAAGAGAAACATGCCATCATATTAAATAAATAGTGGTTACTTTGGAGTGGCAGAATGATTGAAAAGTAATGTTTATTCTTTGCGTTTCCTGTAGTTTTTACCTTCTTAGCTATGTGTGTTTATAATTTTCATGTGACGCTATTGAAAACTAGAAAGATGTATCTAATAAAATAGCCTCAAAATATAAAAAAGATAGAACTCAAAGAAATTGATAAATCCACTATTATGATAGATTTCAATAATCATCTCACAACAGTGAGAAATTAAGCAGACAAAAAAATCAATACAAATATAAAGTATTTTAATAATAGAAGTAACAAGCTTGATCTAATTGGACAGAGATATAACTGCCAACCCAACAATTACAGAACATATATTTTTCACATACTGTGATTAATATTTGTTAATGTTTTTTATGCTTGAAAAAATGTATATTCTATAACAAGCAAGTCTCAACCATTTTTTTAAAAAAGGTCCAATATAGAATTACTGACCAAAGTGCAATTAAGTAGAAATCAATAACCAATAAACATGTGAACAAGCAAAATATCCACGTATATGGGAAATTAAACACTTCTAAATACCTTAGGAACAAACAAGAAATCTTAACAAATGTTAAAAGTATATTTCAATTTTCAAAAATTCCAAAAATTCAACTTGTTGATGAAACTGTTGGGAAACAGACTCTCTCATACTCTGATGATGTTAAAACAAAGTAATTCCCCTATGGAGGGCAATTTTGGTGACACTAATAAAAAAGATATAAATCTACCTCCTGACCCAACAATTCCATTTCTAGGAATTTTTCTTATGAATCTGCTCATGTACAAAATGACGTATGTACAAGATTATTCATTACAGTACTAGTTACTGTAGCAAAAGATAGAAAGTAGCACAAGTCTCTCAATAGAAAACTAGCAAAACAAGTTTTCACTCTTCCTCACAATGAAATATTATGCAGCCATAGTAAGGATTAGGAAATTTGTATGAAATTTTCTGTAGATAAGGTACTCTGTCTAGAACAAGGGCAGGAAGTTTACAGTATATTTTCCCTTTTGTGTAAGAAAGAGAAAAATCAAGAATAGGTGTTCATATTTTCTTGTATTTACATAAAGGAACAGTGGAAGAATGCATGAAAAATTAAGTCATCACCCATAGAATGTCAGGGAATAGAGTGGGTAAGGAAACACAGGCACAAGATTCCTAAGTCTACAGTTATTCTATAGTTTTGATTTTCAGATTATGTGCATATATTAGCTATTCAAAAATAAAATACTAAAAATTTTAAAATAGAAAGACAACATAGAATTTGTGGAATTAATCAAAGTAATACCTAGATGTAAATTTAAAGCCTAAAGTACATATTTAGAATAGACAGAAGGTCAAAAATTAATAATCTAGATAACTAACTTAGAGACAACTAAGTTGAAAAAATTAATAACTAAAGTTTCTAACTTTAAGGATTAGAAAAATAAAACCAAGAAAGTACAAGGAAAGAGATAAATATAAGTATAGAAACAATAAATATTTTGAAAATCTGAAAATAAAATGTAAGAGGATCAATAAGGACAAAAGTTGTAACCTCTAGACAAAAATGATCAAGGGTACAGAAAGAAAACACAGAGAGGCACAGACAACAAATATTAGAAATAAAAATAAATAAATCTAGAGAAAGTGCAGCTCAAAGTGTAAGGGTATTTAAGAAACTGCCTAAGATTACATATGCAATAAAATTTAGGGGTAGGCCTCAAATTCAAGACTTCTGACTCAAAACTAGTGTTTCACTTATTCATTTCTATGTTCCTGAGACATGTCTTCCCATAATCAATTCAATCAATAATCATTGGCCTGGATAAGAGAAAGGAAAGCTAGGCTGGATGCGGTGGCTCCCGCCTGTAATCCCAGCACTGTGGGAGGCCAAGGAGGGCGGATCACGAGGTCAGCAGATCGAGACCATACTGGCTAACACGGTGAAACCCCGTCTCTACCAAAAATACAAAAAAATTAGCCGGGTGCAGTGGTGGGCGCCTGTAGTCCCGGCTACTCTGGAGGCTGAGGCAGGAAAATGGCGTGAACCCGGGAGGCGGAGCTTGCAGTGAGCCGCGATCCCACTGCACTCCAGCCTGGGGGACAGGGGGAGACTCCGTCTCAAAAAAAAAAAAAAAAAAAAAAAAAAAAAAAAAAAAGAAGGGAACACTAGCAAGTACTTGATTTTTCTTCTCTCAAGCAGCCTCTCATTCTTTGTATATACTTTGTCCCACTTCTTCCTGGCAAGGAATATCACTCAAAGATGTGACTGCTGTACAAATTAGGATTCCAGCAGCTGTTTCTACTTTTCTGGAATTAAAAGTCTTCAAGGCCAAACCTGAAACTTGAAAACAAAATCTTTAATATTAACAGAATTTTTAAGACCATGAACTCTATCCACCTCACTCCTGTTGCTATTGCAGCACTGTGTATGCTGCAGACATTCACTCTAAGAACTCACTGAGCCACATCACCTGCATCACCTTCCAAGGCCCTTCAAACATCTGGACCCACCATGTCATTCACAAAATCTAAGGTACTGGCCTGGGCACTGTAAATTTCCTTCCACTCTGACATTCTGTGATTCTGTGCCTTCAGGAATGTGAGAAATCACTGAAGGATATGTTTCAGAGATCTAGACTGGTTTACCACTGATTAGGTTAAGCAAATCGGGATGAGACTTTCAAAAGCTAATAGAAATTGCCAATGCTGAATATTTACCATTATCCAGATATTCATATTCTCTACTCTTCTTGATCTACGAGTTTAAAGATAAAACACCAAGGGAAATAGCATCAAAATAATGATCAATAGATCCATGTATTGTCAAGATTTCAAGTTTCATTTGTAAACTCCAGCCTAATTTTAGAGAAGTGTTGCCTACAGCTTACAGGAAAAAATAAATGTTAAACTTGTAATACAAATTTATACCTAGATCTATTGTAACTTTAAAAAAAAAAAAAAGGCTATTCCTAACTGCATTATCTTTCTTTTTAAGAGGAAGCAAGTTACCTAAAGACCTTAATCAAAAAATCGAATTACTGCTCTCAATTCCTTCATCCCCTGAAACAAATAGTACACATCACACCTACGACATAGCAGGTAAGGTATACATCACTGTCCCTTGGTTTGCGGTTGGCCATGTGACTTACTGTGGCCAACAGGATGTTAGCAAATGTATGGTGATGCAAGTGATCTTGCACTCTTGTACTCTGCCTTTGTCCATGAGAAGAACATGCCTCTGGAATCTGCTGGCCCAAAAATGAGAAGGAATACACACAAGCCAGGACTCAATCCTTAACCTTAATCCAAGTCCAACTGAGCCTACCATAAGTCAGCTTTAGCCAGCTGATCTCATGGGCGAGAACGATAGGATTTCGTTTGTGCCACTGAGATTTTTATGGTTGTTTGTTACACAGCATTATTATGGCTATATTTGACTAATACACTTACCTACCCAACAACACTTATTAAGATAACCTTAACTATGAAATACATTTCCAAAAGAAAACATGCTTTACAATTCCAGAGTACTAACAATGAAAGGGAAAAGAACCTTTAAAAAGTAGATCTTAGGAGGAAGGGGTGGGACTCAACAACACGGTGATAACGTGTTACAGTAACAAAGCCCTTTTTAGTAAGTATTCTTATCACATCTGTTTTGGAGATCATAAAACAAGAGGCTCAATAATTAACCAGAAGTAGTAAAAACAGCATTTCTGCTTAGGTTTTTCTGGTTCCAAATCTAGTGCACCTCCAGTAAGTAAAGTTCTTTTCAAATATTCTTTAAAAATAAATAAATAAATAAAGACGTCGTCTCGCTATGTTGCCCAGGCTAGTATCAAACACCTGGGCGCAAGCAATCCTCCTGCTTCGGCCTCCCAAAGTATTGGGATTACAGGCGTGAGCCACTGCATCCAGCCTCAAATATTCTAATGGTAGAAAGTATAGAAAGAAGTCTCTACACTTTGGGGAAAGCTGTGTGTCACTCAGAAATTAAATAAGGTTGTGTTCTAAAGCAAGTGCCTGCGGGTTCATTTCAAATCACTAAACCATTGATGGATAAGCTTGGTTTCTCAATGAAAACATCCAGCAGTGGGGTGAAAGACATTTATGCAGTGTTTTCTAGGAAAACCCTTAGAAGACTAGATGAAATAGAAGTTCCTTAGAGAGGGAGGGTGAAATCTCCACTTCAAAACACCCACCTCTAAGACATGAATTTATTGTCTTTCCAAAATAGAAATTAAAGTTTTCTCATGGATACTCATTTATGAAAATGCTCTTTATTAAAAACATATGGTCTCTAGCTGATTCAGGAATGCTCATCTGTCTTGCCATTGAGTGTATATCATTATGTAAAATTCTTATGATCTCTACATCCCTAGAGCCATATAGAGTTTTCTCTTTCATTCTTGCATCTCAAGAGGAAAATACAGAGATGTTACATGAATTACTCTTTCTCTAGTGTGAACATTTGGCAGGGATGATATCATTCCAGATGCTTTCTTATTTTTCATCTGTTTAACGACCTTACTCATCGGAGAGTTGGAGGGTTTCTAAGTTTGGCTCTATCTGGGTATTATGGGGAAGAAGTTGAAAGCATTCTTGCCAGCGGTGTCTCAATTAAGACTGCCAAACAAAGCTTCCAGTGTATAAAATGATCTCTGTTCCCTCCCTGTTCGGTTATGGGGAAAAAAATAATATATATATATATATATATATATATACACACACACACACACACACACACACACAATTATTAACATCTACCTTCAAGGCCAATAAGAGAGAGTTAAACGTAAGCAACACGTTGTGATTCTGCTATTGAGGTAGTAATTGATAGTTTCATGGACATCAATAATTGTTTCAGGGCCAGGATGACTAAAGACTTCAGATTTATGTTATTAAAAATACATAGATGAGTGCACAGTGATGAAAATGTTGGACATAGGCTACTCTAGAAAACATGTGCTTGGAATAACTTTTAGCAGGACTGATCTCCTGAGATTCTCCAAGTAATTATAATCTCAAATTTTGTTGAGAATCCTGTGTATGCCATTTAGATATCTTATTGTTACATAATGTGTTAAATTTATTTCCAACAAAGTAATGAAAAAATATATAGATGAATTTAATTAACATGAAGAAGTACAGAAACAATTTACCTATGCAGAATTCAGCTATGCCATTGTCTTATTCAACCAGAAAGAATACCTAACAAAACCAAAATTAGGCAGAAAAGACCAATTTCAGGGGAACTAAAGTAGGTGTGACAAAATAGATCCTCCTCTCAGAGAGCATTTATTCTTATTTTTAAACATTTGTAATAATTCAGATTTTCCATTCTCTGTATTCAGAGTTGATTATTTAAAATGATTTAGAATTCAATTTAGAATGTCATCTTTTTTTTTTTTTTTTTTTTTGAGACAGGGTCTCCCTCAGTCACCCAGGCTGGAGTGCGGTGGCATAATCTCGTCTCACTGCAACCTCGGCTCCCCAGGATTAAGTAATCCTCCCATCTTAGCCTCTGGAGTAGGTAAGGTGTGCACCACCACTCCGGGCTATTTTTTTGTACTTTTAATAGAGACGGGGGCCTTGCCATATTGCCCAGGATGGTCTTGAACTCCTGAGCTCAAGCAATCAGCCCGCCTCAGCCTCCCAAAGTGCTGGGTTTACAGGCATGAGACAACGTGCCCGGCCAGAATGTCTTGTCTTTTAAAAAAATATTGTTTTAAATTTGGTGTTGCATTTTCTTTGAATGTGTAAGATTGCATTAATGAGAAATTATGCTCTTTAATTCAGAGGACTTTGGAGACCTTCATTCCAAGAACAACATACCTACAAACTGACTAATTTTAAAAAATTAAAATATGCTACTATGCTTTTTCTCGCCTAGAGAAGGGATGATCTCAGCAGTCCCATATCTGTATAGCACCATGAAGGCCAGGGCTGTATATCTCACTCTGCATTCACCTCGCACTCCATAGAACTTATCTGGGCATTTATAATTTTTTATGCTAGTGCTAATGACAATGAAGAAACATGGGATGAATAGTTCACCCATCCCTAAGCATTTACAATTTTCCTGCTACTTTCCATGGAACTACTATGATTTGGGAAAAAATCATATAAAATTATCATTTATTTGTGTCATCACTTTAAACTTGCTATTACCCTGATTAGGCCAATGCATTTGCATTTGTCTTTCAGGTTTTTAAGAAGTATACATAACTTTCTCTTTTTTTTTTTGAGATAAAGTCTCACTGTGTCACCCAGGCTGGAGCATAGTGGAACAATCACAACTCACTGCAGCCTTGACCTCAGGGGGTCAAGTGATCCTCCAGCATCAGCCTCCCAAGTAGCTGGAACTACAGGCACATGCCACTGTGTCTGGATATTTAAAAAAAAAAAAAAAAAAAATTCTGTAGAGGCCATGTCCCACTGTGTTGCCCAGGCTGATCTTGCACTCCTGGGCTCAAGCAATCCTCCTGCTTCAGCCTCCTAAAGTACTGGGATTGCAGGTATGAGCCACCGTGCCTGGCCCTTAAGTTTCATGTTATGTGATAACCAAGTCTTTACTGGGAGCCTAAGAACAGGGCAGTAACAAGTGTAACCATGTAATGTCTTTGACATAGTGCTCTGCATGTATGGACAGAATCTAGGAGGGCTGATTGGAAGTCTCGTTCCATTGGTTTCCTCTTTTCCCACTGCCTTGTCCCTCCTCCATGGTCCTGGCTTTATCCTTGTTTTTAAAGTAAACTAAATATGGCCTGAGAAAGACTTCGTATTTCTATATTTGAGTCCTTGTGGACAAACTGTAACCTAGCTTAATAATCAGACAAGATTGAAAACCTAACTTCGGAGTTTGTGCCTGTAACAATAGCTGAGTCTTGGCCAATCCCAGCGGCCATACCTTCAATCATTTACAGACTGCAAAGTATTCAAACTGTGTTCAAATTAAGGCAAACGCCAACCTGTAACCAATCCAGCTATTTCTCTACCTCACTGCCGATTTCTGTACACCGTTTTCTTTCTTTATCTATAAATTTGTTCTAACTACGAGGTATCCCTGGAGTCTCTCTGAATCTGCTATGATTCTGGGGGCTGCCCAATTCTTGAATCATTCATTGCTCAATTAAATGTGCTTAAATTTAATTTGACTGAAGTTTTTCTTTTAACATCCTGAATCTAGCCTTTTGATCCCTTCCTAGTTTCAAACTGAGAAAAGAACAACAGATCTTTCTTCTTCAGAGACCAACATTTACCAAAAAAAAAAAAAAAAGAAAAAAAAAAGTTTATCTCCTACTAATGCTCACGGCATTTATACACTAAAAGATCCTTCCTCACCAAGACTGAAATAGAAACGATTAAATAAGTAAAGAAATGAAGAGGTAGATAATCATTTTCTATTCATAGGCATGTTCATCAAAAACCACAAAGTATGAAAAGGATAATGATTGGATAAGAGCCAGGCCTTTTTGCATTCAATAAGGCATAGCATGAACCTGGCAGAACTTTTATCAATAGCATCTGTTGTTATTTCTCATTACAGTGAGCAAGCCATGACCTCAAGTCTACACCATCAAATAGCCATGGAGATGACAAATCTTCCTTTGTGATATAATGTATTTCCAAATGCAGAGATTTCTGCCATACTTGCTGAACAACATATATACAATAACATATATAATTATCTCCTGAAACACCAACCAATGTCTATCTAAAATTTAGATGCTGTTGTTTGGGAGGTGTAATTTTTTTTTTCTTAAAACATACATAAAAATACGTTTTTAAAAAGCTTACTTTCTCTGTGAAAATCTCCAATCTAAAAAAAAATGAGAGTTAATATTAAAAATTGAATAGATCCCTATTTTAGGTATCCATTCTTTTTTTATTTTTATATTTTTATTTTATTTATTTATGTATTTATTTTTAAGAGGCAGGTCTCACTATGTTGCCCAGGCTTGTCTTGTACCCCTGGGCCCAAGTGATCCACTTGCCTCAGCCTCCCAAAACGTTGGGATTACAGGCATGAGCCACTGCGCTCGGCTAAGTATCCATTTTGATTTTAATAATCAACTTAAAAATACATAATTACTTTTTTAAAGCTATTTATTAAAATTTTTAAAATTTAATAGGCAATCTTACCTTTTCAAAAAGAACTTCTAGTATGAACCATGAAATACGCCACTTAGCAGATTTTATTTTCACATTGTCCTATGCAAATAATAAGCTAAAGGATTTTTTTTCATTTAGAACAAGTGAGATGAAATAGTTGTTATTCTTATTTTGATGTTCTTGAAAGGCATATCGAATGAAGCTTATCTACAATAATAATGATTGATGAGCTTCATCTAATGATAATCCTTAATACCTTAGAGAACAATCTCAATAGATCCAAACAGCAACAAAATTCTGACCCAATGAAGGGCATCGTGAGTAAGAACAAAGAGGTGAATTAGTAATTTAAATAAAAGCATATTTAAGTCAATTCTAGCAATGCAAAAAGAAAAGAGGGTTAACATTGTAATTTAAAATTTCTGGGTGTTTATTCCAGCAGTGACACTTCAGAACAGTGAATGTTAAGGAGTTTAGTTAATTTCTATGAAGTTTACAGTTTACATGTATTAAATGGGCACTTGCTTAATTATTTGCTCTCTTGATTTTAAGTTCTACCAGGTTACAGTCCTTGTCTTTCTGGTTCATTTTTGTGTTACATGTGTCCAAAATAATACCCATGTCTTGGTAAATGCAGAATAAATATTTGATGACTGAAAGAATGAAATCATTCAGCATTCAATAAAGATTTATTGTAAGCCTCATCTGGTCCAGAAACTCTTCTAGTTGCTGGGTAGGGATGGGACAAAACAGAGAAAAATCCCTTCCTTTGTGGAGCTTATACTCTAATGGATAAGATGATTAACAAAGCAAATGGGCAAATTTGATACAAAAAACAAATCAAAACTGGAAAGGAGGATATGAAATGTTGAGTGTTGGAGCAGGTGGTGAAATTTTAGTTAGGATTGCTAAGAAAGTCCTTAGCAAGAAGGTGACTTTCAAGTAAATACCTGAAGAAAGTGGGCTGCTCCCTATGTCGCTATCTTGGAAGAGATCATTTCAAACAGATGGGACAGAAAGTACAAAAACCCTGAGGCAGGAGTGGTGAGAAAACAGCACAGGGCCAGTGTGATTTACCAAGCAATGAATGGAGGGAAGGAGGATGAAATCAGAGAGGAAAAGGGAAGAGGAAAATCATATGACTTGTTGGCTAAGGCAAGGACTTTGGCTTTTATTCTGAGATAGATAAGAATCTACTGGAAGGTTCTGGGCAGAGGAGTGACATAATCTGACTTACGTTTGAACATGAACACTCTGGCTGCTGTTAATAACAGACTACAGGAGGGCAAGGATGGAAGTAAAATAAACACCTACTTCGTAGCATTTTTATAAAAATTACTCAAAAAAGTATATAAGCCCAGCACAGACCTGTCACTAATTGCCCTTGCTTAAGGAGAGCAAGTATCCCCTATTCTCATAGGGAATGCCTTTCCTGCTCCGACAGACGCATATACAGAGGCTCTGGGTTGTCACCATTAACAATCCCAAGAAACTACACCTCCTTTAAGGTAGCCCCGGAATTGGGGGTGTTGGCTTAATACAAGCAACAATAATCAGTGGACTTCCCCTTGGCCCCCCTCCAAAAAAAGAAATGGCCCTGGCATCCAATGGAGTCATTCTGACAAAGTGAAGTAGCCATCCTATCTGCCATCTCTGCCCTGTACCAAGGGAGCTCAATCACTTAATGTTGAAGCATCAAAGGGTTGTGAAGATGCTGGGAATTTAGCTGTTAACAAAATGTTTATATCTAAATTCCACAGTACTAGCATCAAAGGGCAGCCATTCACATCAACATCAACTAACAAAGCACACAGGGGTGCTTTATACTCACTCCATGTCTAATATGTTTTCCGGAGGAAAGGCTAAAGGCTACATGAAACATGACAAAATCCATGAACCCTAATTAAATTTTGCCTTAAAACACCATCATTAGACATTAACTAGGGATGTTTTACTCTCTGAAGGAGTAATTGCTTAGTTTTATTTCTTAATAATATAAAAAAGAACTTAGCAATCTGAGGGGAAGCAGTCCAAGCAGTCCTGACTTTGCAAACAAACAACTGAGCAGGAAGTGTTTCCTTCCCATTCTGTCCCCTTGCTGCTCGTACTTGTTGAAAGATTTCCATTCCTATTTCTGGCCTCGCTTCACTGCTATTCCTGGGAGGGTTTGCAACAATTCATTCAGCAATGGTTTATTGAGTGTCTACTTTGTGTCAGGTGCTATTCTAGCTGTTAATGATAAAACAGTAAACCAAACAGACACTGCTCTCTGGGAGCTTAACTTCAAGTACCTATCAAAGTTAAGGGAGAGGAAGAGGTGAGGTCAAGAAAGGTTGATCCACCTTCAGATTCTCCCTTGACTGCATCTCTCCATCCCCAACCACCCTCATTGGTGGGCTTCATTAGGTGCCAACAATAGCCTTTTTTCAGAAGGAAAACACTTCAGAATAAGTCAGGGCTTTCCTCTGAAATGTTGAGGAGTCACATACCACTTCAAAGGGATCTAATAACCCACCACATCATCTGTGTGCATTTGTGCCTGTATATGTAATATTGAGCATAAAGAAAGAGAGACAGAAAAAGAAGACAGAGGAGACGTGTTGGAAATTTTTACATAATAAAAAAGTGGAATCCAGGAATATCAGGCTTTTTTTCATCTTTTGAAGTATCTTTTAAAATGTGGGGATTTTACCTTTAATAATTATTATCATCCCCATTCTGATTTTAGTTTCTACAGTTGCCACATCATTCAGAGCTACTTTTCTCCAGAGGATGTTGACTAGAATTACCTACTATGTAAGACACTTTTTGTTACCTCCTCAGCTTCCTTTCCTCATTCTGCTTTCCTACCAGAACACACATTTTATTCAGAGATCCCCTGCCTATTCATGATGCTGGGCAACTTGACATTCCCAGCTCCAGCAGTATTCAATCAGCTTGGGGCATTCCCAGGGACATGTTAATACTTTAGGAGTGGATGTATGACCTAAGATGACTGAATGAAAGAAGACCATGGCCAGGGGAGAAGTTTTCTCTCTCTCTCTCTCTCTCTCTCTCTCTCTCTCTCTCTCTCTCTCTCTCCTGCTAGATAAAAACAAGAGATTAGAGCTAACACTCTGAGAGACAGAAACTTAGCCCACCATTGAGCTCTTAAATGAATCAAACCTGAGGCTACAGGAGATGACAAATGTCCTTATTGTCTAAGCCCATCTGAATCAGGTACTCTGTTACTTGCAGCCCAAAGCATTATATCAGATACACACTGGAATTGTCACAGCTCTGGGCAGAAGCAGGATTTATTTGCAGTTCAGATTCCAAACAGGAAGAGATTCTTCACATCACAGGATCTTTTAAAATCACTCCTGTTTTTTATAATATGAAAAAAGAAAGCTGTGCCAGAGCACAATAATCTGATCCCAACAGAGAACATCCACACAAAACTCTCAGGTTAGATTTTAACACTACAGTGCCACTGCATTATAGTATTACTTTGGGTACTCAAAGATGGAATTTAAATAAATGCTTAAGTAAATACCATATTATAGAAATAGGGTTCTGAAATGGCTCTGCCAACAGCTTAACTGTACAGGACAGGAAAAATGTGGGACATGAGAAAAGAATTGAATCCAGATTGGACTATACATATTCCCTAAAACCAGTGGTCCCATTTCTTAAAGGAGAGGAATGGGAGACAGATAACAGAAACTGTGTATCTTATATATTGCATTATACCATAACATATATACACTATAAACGTGCAGTAAATTTTGTTGTTTTTCTTATAGCCTGTTCAGTCATTCTCAGCAGGACCTGTTCTTAAAACCATAAATAAATTCTAAGTACTGTTACCTGTAGATATATTGATAGATTATGGGAAATCCTTTCTGACAGATTGTTTGCAAAGATGGCTACATCAATTTCTCCAGTTCCTAGAAGCCTATGTCTCTGGAAGTTGACTTTGCTACTCTTCTCCAGATGGAACTATTTTCCCTCCTCTTGATGTGGGCTAACTCTGTCCTGTGACTTGCTATAACTAATAATGGCAGCAGAAGTGATATTGTGTAACTTCAGAGCCTCAACTTCAAAAAGCCTTGTAGCTTCCTCTCTTGCCCTTTTGCTGCCCTGAGACTGCCACATAAAAAAGCCCAGACTAGCCTGCTGGAGATGGGCCATGAGAGAGACCTTGTGAAAAAGCCTGGCCCCCTGTCCTGAGGCCCCAGCCATGTTACCGAGACTATCTGGAACCAGCGAACTCCCAGTCAACATAGCGACTGACAGCAACCTCATCAATGACACTGGTGAGACATCAGAGGCTGATCCTAGTAAACATTTCAGAATTGCAAGCAATTAAATTATTTGCAAGCCACTAGGTTTTGGGGTAGAAAACTGATGCATCCTCCGTGTCTCCCAAAGTCAGGATTCTGGTACCACATCAATCCCTTGCAGGACTCTATCTTAAGGAATTTTTTTTTCTTTTTTCTTCTCCTTGAATATGCAATGTGTTATGCTGCAAGTAAATGTCTTAGAAAACCTCAAAGCGTTTGTAAGGAAGGAGTCATTCTGGAAAGACAACAACTCCCTCCTCGATGGAAGGTCCCATTCTCTCCATTCTATACCTCTGACACCTTCCCTCTATCTATACCTCTGACACTCTCCTCTTTTCCTTCTACCTGCCTACCATAGGTCACAAGAAATTTGTCCATAATTGGAGCTAGAATAGTGGAAAGACATGTTCCTATTCCAAGGGCCACAGCATCTGGATGGCCGTGTCACACATTCTATCAATACAACCATTTAGGTGTGCTGCATGGTGGGCTTTGGTGAGCTGGTCTGAGACCTAATTCACATGTGCTGTATTAATTATAAGTCCCAAACCACTAACTTACAAGCCTATTTTGTTATACCTGTAGCCAATTAATTTTTTATTTTACTTTTTTTATTATACTCTAAGTTCTAGGGTACATGTGCACAACGTGCAAGTTTGTTACATATGTATACATGTGCCGTGTTGGTTTGCTGCACCCATTAGTGGTCAATTAATTTGAAAGTGAACTCAGGAGGGTGAAATCAAGAAATGTCTTTATTCTGCCAGGCTGACCTTTGGCTCATGCATCCAGTCTCCCTCTTCTGTTCCTTGGCAGCATGGGGTTCAGACTCCACAGCTTTCAGATCACTTTCAAGGCTTTAAAAACTCCAATCAATCCCAAAGCATTAGTCTCTGTGCTAATTCAAAGCTTCTCTCCTCTTTTCAGGATAAGCCTTACTCTGGATATTCAGTCTAGATGTTCTAGACTCTACTTGAGAATTTCTGAACCTCAGCACCATTGATATTTAGTATCAGATAAATCTTTGTTGGAGGAAGCTGCCCTGTGCGTTGTAGTATGTTCAACATAAACCTGGCCTGTACCCAACTGATTCCAGTATGACCCCCTAATTGTGAGAACAAAAATGTCTCCAGATATTGCCAAATGTCCCCTGGAAGGCAAAATTGTCCCCAGTGAAGAATTACTGCTCTAGACTATCCATTCTTAATAAGGATGATATTGCCCCCATGGGGATGGTAATTGGCTCCTGGGGGGCAAAAAAAATATGTTCCAATGATCTGTGGACCCCAAAAAACCACAGTACCCAGCATACAGTATGCCTGTGGCATACAATCCACAGAGGAAGGGGAAGGCAGTTAGGAGAAAAGTCAAAAAATAGCACCTTGGGAGAGCGGAATGAAAAAAGTTTATGAAACACGGCACTAGACCAATGGTGGGGTGTGAGATCTGTTTCTTCCCTCTTCCCTCCCTCATTTGCTTTGCCAGTGGGGGTAAGTAGTGGAGGGGCAAAGTCTTTTTACTTAGCTGGTGTTATGTAATTCCCCCTAGCTGTTGAATTCCCCCTGCTATGGCAAGCATCAAAGGCGGGTCTCCTTGCAGTCCTGGGCCTGGGTGGCTTTTCATGGATTCCTACTTTGAATATCTGTGTGATATGGCTAGAACACTCTCCAATTTCCCTCCAGCAATTAACCACACACAGCATCTTTCTGCTGGAGACCCTCAATTCCCGTGGAATGCTCTTGGGTGGGATTATTTAGAGATGGCTTATTTTGGCTCCCCTGATCCAGAGGAATTTCCACTGTCTTATTCTGCCCAGCAGTGATGGCAGCTCCAGCCACCTCTAGCCTTCACACCTCTCCCAGACAAAGGCAGTCACTAGTTGCTGTGCCTACCACACCTGAGGGAGCTCACATCTGGATCTATAAAGAGTTCTCTAGTCCTCTGCTTTGGTAGTAGTACAAATGGGAGCATCAGAAATATACAATGGGTAGCTCAGCAAGCCTCCAGGCAGGAAGTAAGACACAGGACTGCCTGCTGGCACACAGCTTTCCCAGGTGTCTTGGTGCAGCCCTCACTTGCCTTGAGGGAAAAGTATCTCTCTCCCCTCCTTCATCCACTGCTCTTTCTGCTCCAGTAAGTACCTTTACTTATGTGGGCGGAAGCTGGGAAAGCAGGGTTGATAGTTTGGCCACCTTTTAATAAGTGTTTTGAGGATCTGTCTAAAACCTCCCTATAGAATATTTTGTTCTCAACTTTGTGGCACCGTTAGAAATTCTGAGATGACAGGATAACACTCATTAAATGCTTATTTATACAACCCATTGGGGTTGATTGGGACTACATGGGGAGAGAATAAGTTAAGCCGGTGTTTCCCAGTCTGTCAGCTGAAAAATTGGGATATCATTAAGAGTTCTGCAAACTGATTTGTATTCTTTTTTATTCAGTCAACAAACACTTAGTGAACTCCTTTCAGGAGCACCTGTGGATACTACAGGCAACAAGAAAGGCAAGGTCTCTACTCTCATGAGAATAGTTTAGCAGAGGAACATAACTAGTAAACAATGCAATGCCAGATTGTAATAAGTGCTGTGGAAAAAATAAGGCACTTAACATTACAGAGTGATTGGGGGGATAGGTGGAGAAGAGTGCTGCTTTGGAATGAGTGACCATAGAAGGGTTCTTTGCAGAGGAAATATTTGGACTGAAATCAGAATAACAAGAAGGAGCCAATCTTGTGAACATCTTGGGGGAAAAAATTCCAAGGAGAGAAAGAGCAGGTGCAGAGGCCCCAAGCAGAAGTGAGCTGGGCATGTTCCAGAAGGAATGCAGCCATGGCGCTGGGGGTGGTAACAACGGGAGAATGCTGCGAGAGGACAGAGAAGCAGCTGGGAGAAAAAGAAGATCCTGGGAATAACAGGAAGCCAGAGGGATTTGGGTTTTTTTATAAAAGCGCTTTTTAAAAAAAAAATTAATTCTGGGATGATTGCGTAGGATGTGAAGGTTTGTCACATAGATAAACATGTGCCATGATGGTTTGCATCACCTGTCAACCCATCACCTAGGTACTAAGCCCTGCATGCATTAGCTATTCTTCCTGATGCTCAAGAACTGCCCCCCAACCCCAAACAGGCCCCAGTGTGTGTTGTCCCCTTCCCTGTGATTCATGTATGCACGTGTTCATTGCAGCACTAGTCACAATAGCAAGGACATGGAATTAACCCAAATGCCCATCAGTGATAGACTGAATAAACAAAATGTGGTACATATACACCATGGAATACTATGCAGCCATAAAAAGGAATGAGATCATGTGCTGTGCAGGACATGGATGGAGATAGAAGTTATTATCCCCACCAAACTAACACAGGAACAGAAAACCAAACACCATATGTTCTCACTTATAAGTGGGAGCTGAATAATGAGAACACCGAGGGATTTCAAGTGCAACAGTCACACTACTCACAGACTGAATCTGTTTCACACACGTGTGCCACAACTGTCCATATGCATGTAAATCTTGAAAATGATACAGACATGCATTGAACATGTTAATAAATGTCTGGCAGCTTTCTGTCATGAGGAGAGGGATGGTGACATACGTTGATGTTAAAAGTCCTTATCTCTGAAAATATTAGAAACTACTGCCTGCTCTGCCTTTCTGATTTTAGATTTATTTGTACAAATTTGAGTTCCTATTCTTTCTTCTACACTAAGAATAAACAAAACTTTACGAAGAGGAATATGCATACAGACTCACTATGTATCTTTCCTGAAAGGACCCCATTCTGTATACAACAGACAAACCTGAGTGTCATTGACGGGACAAGCACAGAAATGAGGTATCACCCTCAGGCAAGTATCTGCATTCTTGAAAGAAAAATTACTCCTGTAGAAACACAGTATCTGATATCTCCAGGGATTCTGCATGTTTACATTTCAAATAATTTGGAGTGAACCAAGAGTGGTACTTTATCACCTTAATGGGCATAGATTTTCACTAATAGAGGTTATAAATACAGTTATTTACAATGATTTAAATTGAAAGCAGGCTGTTTTTAGTGGCTGATGCCAAAATCATCCTGGAACTACCTCTAACTTACTATCAAAGGCTTATTTACCATAATTGACTGTCTCATTGTTTTACCTTGTCTTTGACCCTGTACACCAACCATGATGCTCCTGAATTTAAAAAGAGAGTGATTAATGTGGCAAGTGCAGAGACAGTCAGGCTTGTATACCCCAATGGGGATACGAGAGAAGTCTGATAAATAATAAACACCACCACTTTCTCACACTCTGACTCCCTCTTTTGCTGCATCTTCCAGGCAGCCCTGGAACGAGATGTCACTTATTTTAAAGCCAAATATACCTTTGTGCTACTCTAAACTTATTTATGCCCTGGTCAGGAAAAAAATATTTACATCTAAAAATGCTGAACCATGAAACTCTAGCTACAGGAAAGATGACTTGTATAGATAAAATGTTAGCATCAACATAATTTCCATAATCATTATTTCTTCTCATGAAACAATTCTTACGTTAAGTGGTTAACTACGGGTATTCTTCCTGCTCAAATTTCTCTATGAGACAAATCCCAAATGAAAAGCTTTTAAGGTTGAATGTAAAAATCCTTTAAGTATGAGGAGAAAATAACAAAGAAAATCAATTCTGTGAATATAAATGATAGAAGAACAACGGTTTTCTGAAATTAAAGAACAACAATAGTGAATTTTAAATTCATTGTGTGTAGGATGTACACAAATAGAAATGAAATATCCAGCTTCTAATTTCTTAGTAATCAGGAGTTAATGAATACTATAATTCACTTTTGCTTTCAAAGATCATTTATATCTCCCTCCCACTATTTACCTATTAGTTTTTCATCCTATTGCTAGTAGGGCCTATTCTGATAGCTATTAGTTTACTAGAAATTGTGCTCTCTCTTTCTCATAAGGAGTAAAGTAAGTCAAGTTACTGGAAATTAGTGGAATATTCAGTTAACATATGTGGTGCACAGGCATAACTCTGAGATATTGCTGGTTTGATTCCAGATCACCACATAAAAGTGAATACTACAGTAAAACAAGTCACAAAAATGTTTTGATTTCCCAGTGCCTATAAAAAATAGGTTTGCACTATACTGTAGTGTATTAAGTGTACAATTGCAGTATGTATAAAATAACAATGTATATAACTAAATTAAAAATTCTTTATTGCTAAAAAAATGCTATCATCTGATCATTTAGCAAGTCATAATCTCATTGCTGCTGGAGGGTCTTGCCTCCATGTCAATGGCTGCTGACTAATCAATGTGGTGGTTGCTGAAGATTGGAGCGGCTGTGGAAATGTCTTAAAATAAGACGACAATGAAATTTCCCTCATCAATTGACTCTTCCTGTCATGAAAGGTTTCTGTGTAGCATGCAATGCTGTTTGGTAGTATTTTACCCCCAGAACTTCTTTCAAAATTAGAGTCCATCCTCTCAAACTCTGTTGCTGCATTATCAACTAAGTTTATGTAATATTCTAAATTCTTTGTTGTTATTTCAAAAATGTTCACAGCATATTCCCATAAAGATTCCATCTCAAGAAACCACTTTCTTTACTCATCCGTAAGAAGCAACTCCTCCTCCGTTGAAGTTTCAACATGAGATTGCAGCAATTCAGTCACATCTTCGGTTTTCACTTCTAATTCTAGTTCTCTTGCAATTTTGACCATATCTGCAGTTACTTCCTCCACTGAACTTTTCAAAGTCATCTATAAGGATTAGAATAAACTTCTTCCAAGCTCCTGTCTATGTTAACATTATGACCTCTTCCCATGAATCATGAGTATTTTTAATGACACCTAAGATGATGAATCCCTTCCAGAAGGTTTTTATCCTTCTTTGCCCATACATATCAGAGGAATCACTATCTATGGCAGCTACACCTTAATAAAATGTCTTTCTTCAATAACAAGACTTGAAAGTCAAAATTACTCTTTGATTCATGGGCTGCAGAATAGATGTTGTGTTAGAGGGCATAACAACAACATTAATCTCCTTGTACATCTCCATCAGAGCTCTTGGATGACCAGGTGCATTGTCAATGAGCAGTCATATTTAGAAGAGAATCTTTTTTTCTAAGCAGTAGACCTCAAGAGTGTGCTTAAAATATTCAGTAAGCCATGTTGTAAACACATATGCTGTCATCCAGGCTTTGTTTTTCCATTTACAGAGCATGAGCAGAGTAGATTTAGCGTAATTCATAAGGAGCCTAGGATTTTCAGAATGGTAAATGAGCACTGGCTTCACCTAAAGCCACCCACTGCATTAGCCCCTAAGAAGAGAGTTACCCTGTCCTTCGCAGCTTTGAAGCCAGGCATTAATTTACCCTCTATAACTATGAAACTCCTACATGGCATCTTCTTTCAATATGAGCCTGTTTTGTCTACATGAAAAATCTTGTTGTTTAGTGTGGCCACCTTCATCAATGATCTCAGCTAGATTTTCTGCATAGTTTGCTGCAGCTTCTACTTGCTGCTTCACCTTGCAATTTTATGTCATGGAAACAGCTTCTTTTTTTTTTCTTTTTTAATTTTATTATCATTATACTTTAAGTTTTAGGGTACATGTGCACAACGTGCAGTTTTGTTACATACATATACATGTACCATGTTGGTGTGCTGCACACATTACCCCGTCATTTAGCATTAGGTATATCTCCTAATGCTATCCCTCCCCCTTCTCCCCTCCCCACAACAGTCCCCTGTGTGTGATGTTCCCCTTCCTGTGTCCATGTGTTCTCATTGTTCAATTCCCACCTATGAGTGAGAACATGAGGTGTTTGGTTTTTTGTCCTTGCGATAGTTTGCTGAGAATGATGGTTTCCAGCTTCATCCATGTCCCTACAAAGGACATGAACTCATCATTTTTTATGGCTGCATAGTATTCCATGGTGTATATGTGCCACATTTTCTTAATCCAGTCTACCATTGTTGGACATTTGGGTTGGTTCCAAGTCTTTGCTATTGTGAATAGTGCCGCAATAAACATACGTGTACATGTGTCTTTATAGCAGCATGTCTTTTCTTAAATCTTATGAAGCAACCTCTAGCTTCAAACTTTTCTTCCTGCAGCTTCTTCACCTCTCTCGGCCTTCATAGAATTGAAGAGAGTTAGGGACCTGCTCTAGATTAGGCTATGGCTTAAGAAAATGCTGTAGCTGGTTTGATCTTCTCTCCAGACCAATAACATGTTCTCCCTATCAGCAATAAAGTTGTTTCTTTTTCTTATCATTTGTGTGTTCACTGAGGTAGCACTTTTAATTTCCTTCAAGAACTTTCTTTTTCTGTTTGTTTACAACTTGGTTAAGCGTTTGGTGCAAGAGGTCTAGCTTTTTGCTTATCTCAGCTTTTCACATGCTTTCCTCACTAAGAGTAATCATTTTCTAGCTTTCGATTTAAAGTGATGCAACTCTTCATTCACTTGAACACTTAAATGACATTGTAGGGATGTAAATTGGCCTATTATCAATATTATTTTGTCTCATGGATTAGGGAGGCCTGAGAACAGGAAGAGAGTCAGGTGAACAGCAGGTCGGTGGAAAAGTCAGAACACATTTATTAATTAAGTTCACCATGTTTTATGGGTATGACATACTATACTATAACATAGTATGACATATTATACTATGTGTGTGACATATTATACTATAACAGTACAATAATGACATCAAAGAAGATGGATCATAAATCACCATAACAGATAATAAGAATAATTTAAAAGTTGGAAATATTGCAAGAATGAGCAAAATTGACACAGGCACAAAGTGAGCACATGCTATTGGAAAAATGACGCTGATAGATTTACTCAACACTGAGTTGTCACAAGCCTTGAATTTGTAAAAAACACAGAATCTGGGAAGTACAATAGAGTAAAGCACAATAAAACAAGGTGTGCCTGTATTAACAGAGAAATGTCATAAATGCTGTGTGGAGGGAAGTAAGATAGAGGAGGGAGTGTCAGCTATTGGTATTTAGATTACTGGGCTACAGTAAACTCATACGTTGCTGTCAGCTTCATGCTTTATTCAAATATGTTAAGATTATTCTATTTTAGTGATAATTTCTTCCTACGCCTATCAAAAGTTACAAATTTGAATCTCTATTAATACATCTATGGTAACTCTGTAATAAGTTGGGAAATGCATTGGGTTTAAATCTTGCCTCTGCCCTGTAGCATCAAATTATGTAAACCTGTCAAGTTTCAGGTTCTATATCATGTTATATGGCAACCTCTGTGCTTGGCACAAGGTAACTATTTATATCAGTTAGTGAATGTGATTCTAGTATATCCACTGTCTCTGTTTGAGGGAATTCTTTCATTCTTTCTGTTATTCTTCTATGCATTTAAATATTTACTAAGCACCAAATATATACCAAGCTTTAAACCAAGTGCAGAGATACATGGACATGACAGAAGTCCCTAACTTTAAAAGGCTCACAATCAAATGGGAATTTTATTTTTAACCAAAAGATGTTCTCAAATTGGGAGTCTTCACATTTGTTAAGACTTCTGCACTCATACTGGAGCTTTGTGGCTCACTACAACAGATTTCACAGCAAAAGTCACTGTCTCAGAATTACTCAAGCCAAAACCTACTTAGCAGCAGCCAGTATAACTAAACATAAAATATAGATTAACAAAGCTTAAAGTTAAAACCTAATAACAGAATATGTTTATACACCTTTTCAAATCTCCAGATATAATTTTAAAATTCTGTTTTTGGCAGACTTTTCCAAGACAGTACCAAACTCCCTCCATCTCCTCTTGGGTATGATGTAAAGCCCACACATGTCAAAGCCAACATCACCCAGAGAATACCAACAGAGAGAAAACAGGAGAGGAAGAGGCCAACATAGGGTTTTATTAGTTTGTGATATTATCAAGATAAATGACACTGGGACATTCCCTCCAACACCTTCTGGATGCCCGAGTTCAGGTAGAGAAAATTACTGCTCATCTATTTATTCCTTGCTTTTTCCCTACCAAACAAACTGACATGAAGTGCCAGGATGACATCATATCTGGGTTGACACTGACTGTAGTAAGAAACAGAGAATCTGAAAAGAATAGGAACATGACTTATCTACTCCATTTGGCATTTTGTTAACAACTCACTACATCTTTTGAACCCTATCAGGCATCTTAAGTGTTAGCATGTATTCAAATTCATTAAGATAAGACCAATTAGCTTTCCATTTTCACAGAAATGACTGATAAATTACATTTAAATATGTAATATTAATGAAGAGGGGATGCATGGGAATGCCTTACTGAACCTATTTTCCTAATTTACTGATAAATTATCACATCAATTTTCCCCCAAACCATTATTTTCCCAATGCTGTACATTGGTAGGGCTGAATGGCACCCAGAGCCAGCACATTTTAAAAAAGCCAAGATCAACTAGATAAGTTTGGGAGATTGTCCCAAGGCAACAAAACTAAAAACTTTATTGACATGAAGCTCAATGTTCCTGAACTGAACCTCCAGCATAGACTAGACACCAACAGGAAGACTTGGATTACAGACACTGGGGCTTTCTCTCCAGCACCAAAATAGCCAGTGGATTCAGTCAATGCAGTTGTGGGAACGCCAATTGTATTGTTCTATTGATCTGGAACAGAGTTAAGTCAATCAAAAGAATCAATGTTGTTAGACCGCGCACTAAGGAAAAGAGCAGAATCAATTATTCAGGGACTTTATGTTAAAAAAACAAAATAAAACTTTTGTTCTCTAATGGATATTGGACATGTGCAAGTATTTTTGGCCTGATCTATTCTAAAATACACATTAGTTCCCCACTGAAACCAGAATAAGGAATGCCATTAAAGCTACCAGGGAACAGATCTTACTCTCATCTAAATGAACTATATTGGTTTTATCCTCTCTGACACACACACACACACACACACACACACACACACACACACACACACACGTTAGTTATCAACTGTGTCAGCTTGAGTAAAAATTAATTATTCAAATGGATTTTTTTCAACTGAATTCAAGAAAATGTTATGTATATCCTTCCATCAGGGACTTTTACTCTTTTTTTTGGAGCGGGGGGGTACTATGGTCCACTTTCAGAATCTGATGAAAATGGAAAGAACCTCTTTGTAGAAAAATTAGATATTTGCATTGATGCATTTATATATATTCACACACTCAAATGCACAAAATATTGCATATTAATTTCAGGAACATCACAGATTCTCAGAGCCATTAACTCAGGGTTAAGAACCCCTGTTTCATGTACTTGCAATTGAGTTAAGACACTGAAGGTCTGAAGCAAGGAAGACAGGGTTCCATGTACAAGGATATGAAACAAAATGGTATGACTGGGGGAGAAATAACAGTTCGATAACCCTGAAACACAAACAAATGGGAAGTGAGAAGACAAATGGTGGGCAAAAGCAGGGCATTAAAGGCCATATATGTCATGTTAAGGAATTTAAGCATTTATTACAGGATGCTGTAGCCCCCAGTTTCTTATTATAAGCCAAAAACATTTGCAAAGAATCATCTAGGATCATTTACTGAATTAAAACGGGCCCAGGAATATGCATTTCAAGATCACTGCTCAGCTAACACTGGAGTATATAAAATTTTAGAACCCTTCAGGGGGCCTGAGGGAGGAAGTGCCACAGGTAGTAAGAACAACAGCCCAAGGGTTCTGAGTGGGGCTGGGGATGACGATCAGATTTTCATTTTAGGTGCAGCCGCCTGCAGGCTTCAGAGTACAGGTTTAATGAGGCCAGACTGAAAGATGGAGACTAGTTAAATCAGCTTGCAGAGAGATTCTGTGCCATGTACTAAAGTGGAAGTTGTCCTCAGGACAGATGTGGAGGATTCTTAAGGACTGAAAATTAACAGACTCCATTACTGAGAAGTACAAAGAGGGAATCAATGATGACCGGGTTTTCTGGCTTGAGAGACTAGCCTGATGGCAGTATTACTATTAAAATGGGTATAAAATGCAGATTTAAGAGGCAAAATAGAGTACAGATTTGGATTTTGAGATATGTAAGGAACATCTGGTGGAGATAAACACGTGTCTGGAATTTGGTGGAGGTGTCAGTGCATGCAAGGCTTCAGATGCCTATTTTGTCAGGTATTTTCTCCTAGGACGGCTCTCTCTGAAGACACCACAATCTCCTCTGTGGGCAGCAAACTGCAGGCATTCTGGGAGCACACTTGGGAGGCGGTGGGGGCCTCACCAGTTACTTAGTCCCCCTGTGCTCAGTCAGGATCTCCTCCACCTTCCATTTGCCTGAGCTCCAAGTCTGGAGCTGCTCTGGCTCAGTTCTCCTTGTGCCTCTCAAAGCCTCGAGGACTCAGCTTTTCTCTTGCCACCATTCTCCCTGCCCACATTGTCTTCCCTGGCTCTACCATGTCAGCCTCCACCCTTCCGTCGCCTGTTTATCCTCACTTAGGGTGATATCAGGTTCTACCTCCGTCCTAGAGTTTCATAAGTACATTTCTGCACTTTTGTCTTCAGCCTCATTGTTACTTGGAAGCCAGTTTCTCAAAAAGAGAGGGCGAGGAAGAAAAGACTTAGCTATCTTAAATGTAATTAGCATTGCTCTTGTAATAACACAGACATTTATTTCATTGACCCAGCAGTTCCATTTCTAGGAACCTATCCCAAAGAAATTCTCATTTTAAGTGCACAAAGATGTATGTACATTGATTTTTTTCATCATTATTTGGAAAAGAAAATTTTGAAAAATTGAGGCAAATATAATAATCACTAAAAATAGAGTGGTTGAATAAGTTATGGAGCATTCATACCATGTAATACTACATGGCTGGCAAAAAGAATCAGGTGAACCTAAAAACTCAAGCTAATAATCTTTTGTAACATTGTAAACTATTATACAAAATCATAATATTTCATAATATTTTATAAAAAATATTCTTGCCTATAACTTAATTCATTAATATCTCCACCAATAAAACACTTAGCCACAGGAGAAGAAGCAACTTGTGCCCAGAAATACCAACTTAAGTAGGAAAACAATGAAAAATTTGAAGCACTGGGGACAAGTGAGTACAATCAGAATTCAGCTGCTGAAAGCTAGAAAACTGAAAAATAGTGGAAAAAACAAAAATACTGTTTTAGATAATTGAGATATGAAGACACAATTAAATCAAGAAAAAGTCCAAGTTTATACTGAACATCTGCAGATATTGCCCTCCAGATAGCAAACCATACTAAAATATTCTACTAATTGAGACAATTTGGTATCATGAAGAAATTAAAAAACAAGTCAATAGAATAGAGACCAGAAGCATACCCACACATACATGGGAATTTTAGTTATAAAATTTATAATAAAATTGATATTTAAAATGAAGGGAGGACATGGACTATTCAATAAATGGTATAAGACAATCAACTGTTTGTAAGGAAAAAATAAATTTAGATCCCAGTTCCACAACTAGGGCTGCAACATTGAATACAGCATTTACAAACTACAGATGGATTAAAGAACTAAATTTGTGTGTGCATTTGTTAGGGGGAAATTCAGAAGGATATTTTTATAATTTTAGAAAGTAAAAGGCCTCCCTAAGCAAGCTGTAAAGAAGAAACGTCCTAAAGCATAAACTGACAGTTTTTAGCTCATAAAAATTAAAAGCCTGTTTATAACAAAGACTAAAAACTGAGTCCGGGACAAGTGACTGACAGAGAGAAAACATCTGTAGCATATTCTACAAAAGCTGAAGATCTATAATATATAAAAATTACTTGACCTTTTATTAAAGAAAGCCAAACAGCCCAGTAGAAAATAACACAAAAAATGAATAGGCAATTCCCAGAAGAAACAGCAATGACCAACAAACTTACGAGATGAAACCACCTCACCGATTATTAGGGAACTACAAAGTTTTAGAATAAAATATCAGGGGGTGGGTATTATTGTGGTAAGAACACTTAGGATGACATCTACCCTCTTAACAAATTTATATGTGCACAATACAGTATTGCTAACTACAGGCACAATGCTGTACAGCAGATCTCTGGAAGTTATTCGTCTTGCATAACTGAAACTTATCTATTGAACAGCAACTCCTTTTTATCATTTTTTATCTCTCAGATTGGCAACAGTTAAAAAAATTAAGTATGTGTGAGAAATGCAAGAAACAGGCATTTTTGTACACTTTTGAAATGAGTATAAATTAATGAAATCTTTTTGAAAGGCAATGTCAGGAATAAAATTCAAGAATTTAACATCCAGTTTGGCACGGGCATTAGCTCTTCCGAACAGATGTCAGATACCACCGGTTGTTAAGGTCCTGCCAACACACTGTCCCCAGTATGCACCAGCTGAATATCAACTCCAGCAGAATTTATCCAGTCTTAAATCATGTGTGCTCTTTGACTGGGCAATTCCATTTCTAGGAATCTATCCAAAAGAAATTCTCTTTTAAGTACATAAAAGATGCACACACATTTATGTTAATTTTGTCATTGTTTTGAAATGCTAAAAAAGAAAAAAAAATAGAAACATCCTAATGATCACAAAAAAGGGAGTGGTTAAATAAATTATGACACATTCATGCCATGGAACACTATACAGTCAGTGAAAAAAAAATAGAGGTGACCCTAAATAGGCCAATACAGAAAAATACGGCATGATATTAAGAAAAAAACAACAGCAAGTTGCAAATCACAGACCAAAATTTACATATTTAATCCCATGTATTTTTAAAATATTCATGTCATGATAGTTAATTTTATCGTTAATGTGACTGAATTACAGGATGTCCAGGTATCTGGTTAAACATAATTGCTGGGTGTGTCTGTGAGAGTGTTTTCAAAAGAGATTAGCATTTAAATCTGTAGACTGAGTAAAGAGGATTACTCTGCGCAATGTGGATGGGCATCATCCAATGCATTGAGGCTCTGGATAGAAAAAAATGGTAGAGGAAGGGATGATTGGCACTCCCTCTCTGCCTAAATGCTTGAGCTGGAACATCAATCTCCTCTTGCCCTTGATACTCCTGGCTCTCACATCTTCAGACATGAACTGAAATCTACATTATTGGCTCTCCAGGTCTCAAATCTTCAGACTACACCACTGGCCTTCCTGGGTCTTCAGCTTGCAGACAGCAGATCATGGGAGCCCTCAACCTCCATAATTACATGAGCCAATACCTTATAAATTGCTTTAGTGTATACACACACACACACACACACACACACACACACGTGCATCAGCTGAGAGGGATACATTCTGAGAAGTGCATCATTAGGTGGTTTTGCCATTGTATGAACAGCATAGAGTGTATTTATATAAACCTAGATGATATAGCCTACTACGTACTATTCACGACAGTAACATTTGTACAGATTTGGAACCTAGGAGCAATAGCCCACAGCATATAGCCTAGGCTATTGCTCCTAGGCTCCAAATCTGTACAAATGTTACTGTGCTGAATAGTGTAAGGAAATAGTAACATAGCATTTATGTGATAGGAAATTTCAGCTTCATTATAATCTTATGGTACCACTGTTGTATATGTGGTCCATTGTTGAACAAAACATCATGACTGTTTTTTAAATACACAAACACACACACATACACATATATATATGCATATACACACATACACATATATAGACAGACACATATATATGTGTGTGTATATATATTTTTATTGGTTCTGTTTTTCTGGAGAACTCTAATAGACATTTATTTGTATGCATAAGTTTTCATATAACAATGTGTATGAATCCATATTCATAAATAGAAAAGAGGATGCAAGAATCTGTAACACTAGTTATAGGAGTTATAGTTAGGAAAGAATATGGAATAGAAGGGTGGAAAGCAGAAGAGAGGCTTAGCATTTTGTTTTGCATACTCTTCATTGTATATATCATCTACAATGAGAAGACATATACAGGTACACCTCGGTTTATTGCACTTTGCTTTATTGCACTTCACAGATATAGCATTTTTTTTCTACAGATTAAAGATTTGTGGCAACTCATGTCAAGCAAGTCTATCAGCACCACTTTTCCAACAGCGTTTGCTTACTTCTTGTCTCTGTGTCACATTTTGGTAATTCTTGCAATATTTCCAACTTTTTCATTATTGTTATATCTGTTATGGTAATCTGTAATCAGTGATTTTTGAGGTTACTATTATAATTGTTCTGGGGCACCACAAGCTGCAACCATATAAGACAGTGAACTTAATAAATGTGTGTGTTCTGACTGCTCTGCTATCTGGCTCTTCCCTTATCTCTCTCCCTCTATTCAGGCCTCTCTATTCTCTAGGACACAACAATATTGAAAATAGGCCAGTTAATAACCATACAATGGCCTCTAGGTGTTCAAGTGAAAGGAAGAGTGACATCTCTCTCACTTTAAGTCAAAAGCTAGAAATGATTAAGCCTAATGATTGAGGCTTGTCAAAAGCTGAGATAAGCGGAGCACTAGACCTCTTGTGCCAAACAGCCAAGTTGTGAATGTGAAGGAAAATTTCCTAAAGGAAATTAAATGTGCTACTCCAGTGAACACACAAATGATAAGAAAGAGAAACAACCTTATTGTTGATAGGGGAAACATTTTAGTGGTCTGGATAGAAGATCAAACCAGCTACAACATCTCCTTAAACCAAAGCCTAATCCAGAGAAAGGCCCTAACTCTCTTCAACTCTATGAAGACTAAGAGAGGTGAAGAGGCTGCAGAAGAAAAGTTTAAAACTAGCAGAGAGGTTGCTTCATGATGTAAAAGTGTAAGGTGAAGCAGCAGTGCTAATGCAGAAGTTGCAGCAAATTATCCAGAAAATCTATCTAAGATAATTGATGGAGGTGGCTACGCTAAACAAAAGATTTTTGATGTATGTAATCCCAGCACTCTGGGAGGCCGAGGTGGGTGGATAACTTAAGGTCAGGAGTTCAAGACCAGCCTGGCCAACATGGTGAAACCCCGTCTTGACTAAAGAAATACAAAAATTAGCCAGTCATCGTGGTGGGTGCCTGTAATCTCAGCTATTTGGGAGGCTGACGCAGGAGAACTGCTTGAACCCGGGAGGCAGAGGTTGCAGTGAACCGAGATCACGCCACTGCACTTCAGCCTGGGTGACAGAACGAAACTCCATCTCAAAAAAAAAAAAGAGATTTTCAATGTAGACAAAATAGCCTTCTATTGGAAGAAGATGCCATCTAGGACTTTCATAGCTAGAAGTCAATGCTTGGTTTCAAAGCTTCAAAGGTCAGGGTAATTCTCTTCTTAGGAGCTAATGCACCTGATGACTTACAATTGAAGACAATGCTCATTTACCATTTTGAAAATCTAGGGCCCTTAAGAATTATGGTAAATCTATTCTGCTTGTGCTCTATAAACCTAACAACAATGCCTGTTTGATAACACATCTCTTTATAGCATGGCTTAATATTTTAATATTTACTGAATACTTTAAATCTACTGTTGAGACCAACTACTTAAAGAAATGTTTTTCAAAATATGACTACTCATTGGCAATGCACCTGGTCATAAAAAAACTAAAGGAGATATACAAGGAGAATTTTTTCACACCTGCTAACACAACATGCATTCTGCAGCCCATGGATCAAGGAGTTATTTTAACTTTCTTTTTTTTCTCATCTTTTATTTTTAAGTTCAGGGGTACACGTGCAGGATGTGCAGGTCTGTTACACAAGTAAATATGTGCCATGGTGGTTTGCTGCACAGATCATTTTATTACCTAAGTATTAAGCCCAGCATCCATTAGCTATTCTTCCTGATGATCTCCCACCCCTACCCCACCAACAGGCCCCAGTGTGTGTTGTTCCTGCTCATGTGTCCATGTGTTCTCATCATTCAGCTCCCACTTATAAGTAAGAACATGCAGTGCTTCGTTTTCTGTTCCTGCATTAGTTTGTTGAGGATAAGGCCTTCCAACTCCATTCATGTCCCTACAAAGGACATGATCTCCTTCCTTTTTATGGCTGAATAGTATTCCATGATATATTTGTACCCCATTTTCTTTATCCAGTCTATCACTGATGGGCATATAGGTTGATCCCATTTCTTTGCTATTGTGAATAGTGCTGTAATGAACATACTATGCATGTATCTTTATAATAGAATGATTTCTATTCCTTAGGGTATATACCCAGTAATAACATTGTTGGGGCAAATGGTATTTCTGCCGCTAGGTTTTTGAAGAATTTTCTCCACAATGGTTGCATTAATTCACACTCCCACCAACAGCGTAAAAGCATTCTTGTCTCTCCATAACCTTGCCAGCATCTGTTGTTTTTTGACTTTTTAATAATAGCCATCCTGACTGGTGTGAGATGGTATCTCATTGTAGTTTTGATTTGCATTTCTCTAATGATCAGTAATGTTGAGCTTTTTTTCATGTTTGTTGGCCACATGTATGTCTTCTTTTGAGAAATGTCTGTTCATGGCCTCTGCCCACTTTGTAATGGGGTTGTTTCTCTCTTGTAAATTTGTTTAAGTTCCTTACAGACTCTGAATATTAGACCTTTGTCTGATGGATAGATTGCAAAAATGTTCTCCCATTCTGTAGGTCATCTGTTCACTCTGATGATTGTTTCTTTTGCTGTGCAGAAGCTCTGTAGTTTAAATAGATCCCATTTGTTAATTTCTGCTTTTGTTACACTTGAAATCTTTGCCTGTGCCTATGTCCTGAATGGTATTGCCTAGATTTTCTTCTAGGGTTTTTATAGTTTAGGGTTTTGGGCTTAAGTCTTTAATCCATCTTGAGTCAATTTTTGTATATGGCATAAGGAAGGGGTCCAGTTTCAATCTTCTGCATTTGGCTAACCAGCTCTCCCAGCACCATTTATTAAATAGGGAATCCTTTCCCCATTGCTTGTTTTTGTCCAGTTTGTCAAAGATCAGATGGTTGTAGGTGTGTTGTCTTATTTCTGAGTTCTGTATTCTGTTCTATTGGTCTATATTTCTGTTTTTGTACTAGCACCATGCTGTTTTGGTTACTATTGCCTTATAGTATCATTTGAAGTCAGGTAGCATGATGCCTCCAGCTTTGTTCTTTGTGCTTAGAATTGTCTTGGCTATTTGGACTCTTTTTTAATTCCACATGAATTTTAAAACAGTTTTTCCTGATTTTATGAGGAATATCAATAGTAGTATAATGGCAATAGCATTCAATCTATAAATTACTTTGGGCAGTATGGCCATTTTCATGATATTGATTCTTCCTATTCATGAGCATGGAATGTTTCTCCATTTGTTTGTGTCCTCTCTGATTTCTTTGAGCAGTGTTTTGTAGTTCTCCTTGAAGATGTCCTTCACTTCCCTTGTCAGCTGTGTTCCTAGGTATCTTATTTTGGTAGCATTTATGAATGGGAGTTCTTTCATGATTTGGCCCTCTACTTGCCTGTTGGTGTGTAGGAATGCTAGCGATTTTTGCACATTGATTTTATATCCTGAGACTTTGCTAAAGTTGCTTATCAGTTTAAGAAGCTTTTGGGCTGAGACAATGGTGTTTTCTAGATATAAGATCACGTCATCATCAAACAAAGATAATTTGACTTTCTCTCTTCCTATTTGGATACGCTTTATTTCTTTCTCTTGCCTGATTGCCTTGGCCAGAACTTCCAATACTATGTTGAAAAGGAGTGGTGAAAGAGGACATCCTTGTCTTGTACTGGTTTTCAAGGGGAATACTTCCAGCTTTTGCCCATTCAGTATGATGTTGGTTGTGGGTTTGTCATATATAGCTCTTATTATTTTGAGGTATGTTCCTTCAATACCTAGTTTATTGAGAGTTTTTAACATGAAGGGATGTTGAATTTTATGTAAGGCTTTTTCTGCATCTATTGAGATAATCATGTGGTTTTTGTTGTTAGTTCTGTTTATGTGATGAATCACTTTTATTGATTTGTGTATGTTAAACCAATCTTGCATCCTGGTGATGAAGCCAACTTGATTGTGGTGGATAAGCTTCTTGATGTGCTTCTGAATTTGGTTTGCCAGTATTTTATTGAGGATTTTTGCATTGACGTTCATCAAGGATATTGGCCTGAAGTTTTCTTTTTTGTTGTTGTGTCTCTGCCAGGTCTTGGTATCAGGATGATGCTGGCCTCATAGAAATAGTTAGGGAGGAGTCCCTCCTTTTCAATGTTTTGAAATCATTTCACCAGAAATGGTACCAGCTCTTCTTTGTGCCTGTGATGGAAATTCTGCTGTGAATCTGTCTGGTCCTAGGGCTTTTTTTTATTTTTTTGGTTGGTAGGCTATTTATTACTGCCTCAATTTCAGAACTTGTTATTGGTCTATTCAGGGATTCAATTATTTAAGAAATACATTTATCAGGTTATAGCTGCCACAGATGGTGATTCCTCTGATGGATCTGGAAAGAGTAAACTGAAAACCTTCTAGAAAGGATTCACTATTCTGGATGCCATTAAGAACACTCGTACTTCATGGGAGGAGGTCAAAATGTCAACATTGACAGGAATTTGGAAGAAGTTTACTCCAACTCACATAGATGACTTTGAAGGGTTCAAGACGTCAGTGGAATAAGTTATTGCAGATGTGGTAGAAATTGCAAGAGAACTAGAATTAGAAGTGAAACCTGAAGATGTGACTGAATTGCTGCAATCTCATGATAAAATAATGGAGAAGGAGATGCTTGTAATGAGTGAGCAAAGAATGGTTTCTTGAGATGAAACCTACTCCTGATGAAGATACTGTGAACATTCTTGAAATGACAACAAAGTATTTAGAATATTATATAAACTTAATTGATAAAGCAGTGGCAAGGTTTGAGAACAATGACTAATTTTGAAAGTTCTTCTGTGAGTAAAATGCAATCACACAGCATCACATGCAACAGAGAAATCTTTCATAAAAGGAAAAGTCAATCAATTCAGCAACCTTAATTGTTGTCTTATTTTAAGAAATTGCCACAGCCACCCCAGCTTTCAGCAACCACCATTCTCATCAGTCAGTAGCCATTGACATCAAGGGAATACCTTCCACCAGCAAAATTATTATGGCTCACTGATAGCTCAGATGAACGTTAGCATTTTTTAGTAATAAAGTACTTTTAATTGAGATATGTACATTGTCTTTTAGATATAATGCTATTACACACTTAATAGACAATATAGTGTAAACATATCATTTATACACATGTTTATATGCACCGGGAAACCGAAATATTCAGGTGACTCACTTTACTGCAATATTTGCTTTATTGTGGGGGCCTGGTACCAAACCAGCAATATCTCCAAGGTATGACTTCATTGTAATTTTTTTAAAAGAACTAAAAACATATATGAGAAGCTCTCAAATTATGAGGCACATTCTTCAAAATCAAGCATAACTAAAGTACGCATTCACCTTTAGAACTTAAAGTCAATGTCACTTCTCAACATATAATCTGAAATATTCAAAGTAAATGGAATAAGCCACATCTCAAGGGCAGCATTCTAAATGGAATTTATCGAACCATTTTTAAGTTAGCTAATTTTCAGTTTTAAATATTTGACCTCTAGTCCTTATACTCTCTTATATTCCCAATTTTGTGCTTTTCTTTAAGGAGAATTCCTAGAAGCACTTAGGGAAAACAAGCTAGCTCACTTGTTAAACATGGAATAATCTGAACCAAAAGCCCAAATGCATAATTGGTCTCCATAGTTTTTGGAGCAGAACATTGTTTGCAATTGATATTCCTCTCCATAGTTACGGTATTTTATTTCATATTCTGTATCTCTAACTCCACAAGGTGAATGACCAGGCTTCCAGTTATAAAATGTCTGTGCCTAACTCTTTAATGTCTATTATATCTGCTATATAATGTGCCATAAATGTGAAACTCAGTCCTTAAAATATTAAACAGAATTTAAAGCTAACAAAAATATTCAACAAAAACACTATATACAACCAGATCTCTGCTTTATAGTCAACAATACAACTATTCAGGGGATTTTTTTAATTGGGTAGCCTTAATCAGTAAGGGAAAAGCCATTAGGTGATGGAGGGGTCCATACCCTGAGAAACTCAGATCTACAAATCCTTATCATCTCTGCCTTGTGAGATGACACAAAAAAATAAAGATATCAAGGGCTCCAGTGCTGGTATATTCTGAAGAGCTGCATTTCTCACAAGCAAACCTATTCTATCTAATTTACAGTTGGTTCTAGAACATATTTCTGTTATGTTTATTAAATACATATTTTTAAAATCACATATTCACCAAATTAACTGTTCTAGGATATTTCCGACAAGGAATAAAGGAACTAAAAGACCCTCATCTCAATTCTATGTCATATTCTCCTTTAGAATGCGTGGAGAACAAAACAGTAATTTAAATAAATTGAGTATATTTTCCTTAGGCAATTAGACTGTGTTTTCATTTAACTTGCCTGATGTATATTCTTCCTAGATTCCTATGAGATAAATGAGCCATTGTTTTTAAGGTGACAAGAATACTCAATGAACTTGGGACAACCTAATGAAGTGATGGTTGAAGTCTAAATACAAGACAATCTAAACTCTCCTATCCTTAGAGTAATTTAGGCCTATGAGGTTTGCCTCTAGTTTTAATTGTGAATTCAACTTTTTGATGAATGTACTGTGTGAGATTATAGTTGTTCAAATAATGGAATTCAAATGGTATCAATGCAGATATCTTTATATCCTTTAGAGAAGAACTTTTTCACTCTCACTAACCCGGCTCCACAAGGCAGAGTGCAATACTTTTCTTTTCCACATAGCTAAAATCACAGAAAAGACAAATAACTGGATATTTTAAACCAAAAATATTGATAATGTATGATGAATTTTTAATTTTTTTGTTGTTCTACCTTAATCATTAAATGACCTTCTATAGCATCTTAAGTTTAACAAATCTTTTGAGAACAAAATGTGTGATTACTGGATGTCATAAAGAGGCCTTTTGTTTCCACTGCAATTTGAAACATGATGTTCCAGAAATCAAAACTGCGTAGCAGAGCAAATATTCATACATTCTCAGCTGTTTCAGCTTATTTCTTTCAAAAGGTTATGGCTTTAAATGCTCACAGGCAAAAGCAAGATGCCTATTAGAGTGGCCAAATGGAGAAAGACAAGGTACATAGAAGACAAAGCATGAACTGCCTCCCTAACCCTAATTATTCAGAAGAGAGAAACAAAGAAGAAAGTGTGCATTGCTATGCTGCTAAATCAAGGATTATTCCACTTCAAATCTGGTCAAGTCTGATCAGTGGAGGCCTATATTTTGTTAGGTATCCAGACAACAAACCTGACAGGTGGCTTGCAAAATGTAGGGAAGCAAAGACTTATTGTTTAACCCACATTCTTGACATAGATAGGAAAATATAGCATATCTGAGGTTATTCACTCAGCCCTTTGGAGAGCTGGTCCCCCATTTCTCCTTCACCCAATCTTTCCAGGCTATTGCTCTGATGCAGCATCAAAGCCAGTAAAAGCACATTTGAAAATGAAAGGTCTATCACATTCCACGCTTCTTTTGAAACATCAAAAAGGCACAAAAAGAAGCGGTAGGACTAGAAAAAGCGGACAAGGAGCAGGACAGTGCCTGTTAGAACGGCAGGAATAGCTGGAGGTGAACCAATGTGAGGTCTATGAAAAGGCAAGTGAGAGAACCAGAAATTTGCTGCTGACAAGATGAAACAGCCCACAGCTGTGTCATGCTAATAAAAAGTTAATTTCAACTTTCAGACACTCTTCATGGTACTTTACAGTTCAATGGCACCAAGCTCATCCATTGTGCTGCATCACCTGCAAAGGCTGGGTCTATCTACAAGCTCTCAGAATCCAGATAGAATTGGAGGAAACTATTTTACTCCTGGAAGATGTCCATGGGGATAAGAACATTTGCGATCAGGTTGAACTGCTACCCCAGTATCCTCGCAAACTGGAGCTTCAGGCATCTAATAAGTCCTAACACACAAACACGGGTGGATCAGGAGATTTTCCTTAGTCCTAGTTCATGCCATCACTGGCAAAATCTGGGGATAAGCAGAGTTTCAGCTGAAATAAAAAAATCTTAAATACCTTGATAAATCTGTGGCCACCCTCATGACCTACTTCTTTCAGGCTGAAACAGACAGCCTACAAAACTTTTTAAAAAGTCATGTCCCTAAGTTTTCTACTGTGTTATTTCCTGAGACCATAAATCCAAGTTGTTATGTATACCTAGAAGCTGCCTCTAGAAATCTTGTGCTTGGTGATGTTTCAAAAATACAAGTAGAAAACAAAAATCCAATAATTCTTCACATGCACATCTTCTCGGTGCCATTGTACCCTGACCTCAGAAAATGTCATAGTGGCTATTTCACTCTATAAAGTTGAATAGGCATTACATTTCCTGCAGTAGCCATGTAATTTAGAAGAGCTATGTATTTGAAATTTTAAATCCTGGATGTGAATTTCAGCTTTGTCACTGATTGTTTCATTGTAAGCAAGACATTTAACTCTGTTCCAACCCACATCCCCTGATGCGTAAAATGAACTATAAAAGCTGCCCTGCCCTGCCCTGTTCACTTTACAGGGATGTTATCAGGAGCTAATGAGAAAAATCCTTTGCAAACTTATAGAAAAGTATACTATTATTACACATAACAAGATATTGCTGTGCCTAACAATGAGTATAGACAACGTATTTGTTGAATTAATGAAAAAATTAATTACTCATAAAACTAAGAAAAATTTACCATATGACTTTATTTCAACAAATATATTTCAATTTAATGTACTTTATGGCTCATGGTTGCAATATCCTTGAAATTCCATTGCATAGCCCTGAAGATATTAATTATGTTTACTCTAATACTTCTGTTTGCTATCTTAACTGTTTTTCTTAGATACTAGTTCTTCTAGTGTATTTAGTGTCTCAAATATAGAGATGCTTCTTTTTTTAATATCCACTCAATTTTAATTATGTTACCTTTTATTATTTTACAGTTTCAAAATATGTATTTCAAAAAATGCTGTTACAGTTGCCTTTACTGCTCTATATGATCTGGAATAAAAGAACACTTAGAATTAGAACACACAAACATCAAGTTGTAATACCTACTTGTCCTGAACAATTACTACCAAAGGGATATAGTTTTTAAATAAGCAGATGTGTGGCAATGAAAAATAAAATACAAATTCGTTACAACAGCAAACTTTGCTTTAGTGGCTATAGAAAGAAGGTGGTTTTATTTTCTTTTTTTCAACACATCTGGTTCTGGCAGCAAGTTATATTATGCATTTAGAGCAATAGGTGCCCTGAAAGTTTTTTTTTTCAGTTTGTGCATGTCACTTGAATCAGAAACAAGACACATGAAAAAAATATCATCCTCAATAACCCCCAGTAACTCTCCCTCCAGAAGGTCACAATGTTAGTGAACTCAAGGCTCTCACTGGTGATGGTATTTTACAATGAAAACACAAGAAAACCCTTTAGGGTCCAATTTTCACATCACATTCTCCAAATAGTAAAATAGTAGCTCTACATGTGGATGAAAAGGAATTTCAATTTCTTCCTATTTGTTTTTAGTCATACCATATTAACATATATCTGGATTTAATTAATTTCCAAAAGGAAAATTTTAGTTACCAAATATTTCAGAAATTTAATAAGGCATCACATATATGTAATTAGCACTTATCTGCCAAAAAAATTATATGTATATGTATTTATTTATCTTAACTTCACTGAAGTTCTTTTTTTCTGGCTAGTCATAAAAAACAGGATTAAGTGATCAATGCTGGCTTTATTTCTTCATAAGCAATAATTTGGGTCTTTTTCATTCAATACAACTGCAGCATTTTCATAATAAATTCACAAAAGGCAATACAAAGAAACATCTACTGAATAGGCTTCTGTCAAGCAATTCATGTTTTAAAGTTAGACTCTATACCAAAATGGCGTTATGGTATTATAGGCATTTGATTTTTGTTTTTTTCAGTATGTCAGTTCTTTATACCATTATTTTTTTCTAGCAGGAGATAATGTATAATCACAAAGTAAGGCCTAGAGACCATTTACAGTTGTTTGCAATATCATGGTCAGACTTAACTCTCAAGAGCTGATATAAACCAAAGTGAAAAGAAGTCAACTAGAACCACATTTGGTCACATTCGAATAGTCTCCAAAAACACTTTGCTAACATACATGTTTCCTCCTTCTTGACAGATTTTGTGTTAATTTTATTAAAATTATAATGAATAAGCCTGCAAAATTTTTGTAGAGTTCTTTTTCTAGGGGACTACTATGTTCAAATGAATGTTTTTAATTTGCAAAATGTCATTAGTAATGTCCTTTCTATAAACATGGTTGGCAAAATAAGAAGGCACAAAAGAGGGTAACAAGAAATGTTTTCAGCTTTCAGTGAAGAGTACAAAAGCATGTACCTTTCACAGTAAAACATGTATCTTTCATAGAGTAAAATATTCGGTAATTGATGCACAAATTGAGCTACAAGAAAACTTCTCTTCAGGTAGGTCCTGAGGCTTGAGGAGAGAACGAGTTTTCCTAATGACGCACTTCATGTAAAATAAAATGTAAAGCTGTACATATCTGTTTGTTTTTTTTTATTATTATGTTTTAAGTTGTAGGGTACATGTGTACAATGTGCAGGTTTATTACATACGTATACATGTGCCATATTGGTATGCTGCACCCATTAACTAGTCATTTACATTAGGTGTATCTCCTAATGCTATCCCTCCCCCTTCTCCCCTCCCCCAACCCCACGACAGGCCGCGGTGTGTGATGTTCCCCTTCCTGTGTCCAAGTGTTCTCGTTGTTCAATTCCCACCTATGAGTGAGAACATGCAGTGTTTGGTTTTCTGTCCTTGTGATAGTTTGCTCAGAATGATGATTTCCAGCTTCATCCATGTCCCTGCAAAGGACATGAACTCATCCTTTTTATGGCTGCATAGTATTCCATGGTGTATATGTGCCACATTTTCTTAATCCATTCTATCATTGTTGGACATTTGGGTTGGTTCCAAGTCTTTGCTATTGTGAATGGTGCCACAATAAACATACATGTGCATGTGTCTTTGTAGCAGCATGATTTGTAATCTTTGGGTATATACCCAGTAATGGGATGGCTGGGTCAAATGGTATTTCTAGTTCTAGATCCTTGAGGAATCGCCACACTGTCTTCCACAATGGTTGAACTAGTTTACACTCCCACCAACAGTGTAAAAGTGTTCCTATTTCTCCACATCCTCTCCAGCACCTGTTGTTTCCTGACTTTTTAATGATTGCCATTCTAACTGGTGTGAGATGGTATCTCATTGTGGTTTTGATTTGCATTTCTCTGATGGCCAGTGATGATGAGCATTTTTTCATGTGTCTGTTGGCTGCATAAATGTCTTCTTTTGAAAAGTGTCTGTTCATATCCATCACCCACTTTTTGATGGGGTTGTTTGATTTTTTCTTGTAAATTTGTTTAAGTTCTTTGCAGATTACTTTAGCCAGTATGGCCATTTTCAAAATATTGATTCTTCCTATCCACAAGCATGGAATGTTCTTCCATTTGTTTGTGTCCTCTTTTATTTTGTTGAGCAGTGGTTTGTAGCTCTCCTTGAAGAGGTCCTTTACATCCCTTGTAAGTTGGATTCCTAGGTATTTGATTCTCTTCGAAGCAATTGTGAATGGGAGTTCACTCATGATTTGGCTCTCTGTTTGTCTGTATAGGAATGCTTGTGATTTTTGCACATCGATTTTGTATCCTGAGACTTTGCTGAAGTTGCTTATCAGCTTAAGGAGATTTTAGGCTGAGACAATGAGGTTTTCTAAATATACAATCATGTCATCTGCAAACAGGGACAATTTGACTTCCTCTTTTCCTAATTGAATATCCTTTATTTCATTCTCCTGCCTGATTGCCCTGGCCAGAACTTCCAACAATATGTTGAATAGGAGTGGTGAGAGAGGGCATCCCTGTCTTGTGCCAGTTTTCAAAGGGAATGCTTCCAGTTTTTGCCCATTCAGTATGATATTGGCTGTGGGTCTGTCATAAATAGCTCTTATTATTTTGAGGTACATCCCATCAATACCTAGTTTATTGAGAGTTTTTAGCATGAAGGGCTGTTGAATTTTATCAAAGGAGATTTCTGCATCTATTGAGATAATCATGTGGTTTTTGTCTTTGGTTCTGTTTACATGATGGATTACGTTTATTGATTTGTGTATGTTGAACCAGCCTTGCATCCCAGGGATGAAGCCAACTTGATCATGGTGGATAAGCTTTTTGATGTGCTGCTGGATTTGGTTTACCAGTATTTTATTGAGGATTTTTGCACTGATGTTCATCAGAGATATAATCTCCTGGTGTGCCATTTGCTAAGACTGTTGGAAAAGCACAGTATTAGGGAGGGAGTGTCCCAATTTTCCAGGTACCATCTGTCATGGCTCCCCTTGGCTAGGAAAGGGAATGCCCTGACCCCTTGCGCTTCCCGGGTGAGGTGATGCCCCGCCCTGCTTTGGCTCACACCCCGTGGGCTGCACCCACTGTCCGACAAGCCCCATTGAGATGAACCTGGTACTTCAGTCGGAAATGCAGAAATCACCCGTCTTCCGTGTCGCTCACACTGGGAGCTGTAGACTGGAGCTGTTCCTATTCGGCCATCTTGGAACCTCCTCCCATGTTTGGTTTTAACAGCGGACCCATGGTTTATAAAATATAAGGCAATTAAATGAAAGAGAAAAAACAAAATACTTTCATAAACAAAGCAACTCCATCCACAGCCTCTGTTCTTTTTACCACTCAGTGGGGTAAAATGTCCAATAAAATGTAAAATGCAGCATATGCAATCATGTAATCTAAAAGCTTTTCATGATAACCCATTGCAAATTGCACTTGACAGTTCACCACAACAATGGAAAACTGGCCCCTGGTTGGTTCACACAGTCCTTGAACCCCAAATTGAAGTCACCAATAAAACGATCTGGATAAAAAGTTTGCAGCTGTGCTCAGCCAGCTAGTTCCACCCACTGGGTGTGAGCTGAAGACCCAGGACACCACCTTGTACTGTTCATTTGTGGGACTCTCATCTTCAGACAGGTAGTCAGGTAGCTCTGTGTTCTGTTCTACCACAGGAAGGTCTTGGAATGGGACCAGCATCTCTTCTCCACTTTCACTTTTCACAACTTACGGAGCTTTCATAACCTTGGTTGATGCTCTCGCTGATGCGAAAGCCTCAGCTTTCAAATCTGAACGGATTCACACCAAGCCTTTGAACAGCCATTTGAAAAGTAAAGCTAATAACACCTTTAATTTTTAACAAAGCCTCTTCATATAGATTTCTCGAAGACGTATCATCAAGGCCGTCTATATGCAAAACCACTGTTTTGGCACGTTTGTTTGCAGTTCCCAGAAAAAACTGAGCTTTCCTTCAATATGAATTCATTTCATTGAAACTATCACCATCTGCCTTATTGGAGGACTGAAGTATGTCATAGATTTCAGAGGCCAGAAGTTTTGTTTCTCCCAGAGTTGCAGTTTTCTGTATAACATTTTGTAGGCTCAACATCATACCCAGTTCTCCTTTCATCTTTTCTCTGTTTGCACGGTGTTCTCCCAAGTATCAAAGAGCGAGCAAAGCCAAATGGACTGGAGGGTTGGGGTGGTCCATAAATAAAATAAGGCAAGGCAGACATCCCTGATCCTGGACTACAGCTCTTCTGTTTAATGGATCTGCTGCTATATCCCCTAACTGGTTAACTACCGATAGAGTATCAGACTCTTCATTCATGGTGGAGGTGGAAGAATTCATCTTCTATGCCATGCACATGAATAAAATTTTAAATTTGCTCCAGAGCTTTAGGAGTTCAGAGCCTGCTGCACCATCGGGCCACACCTACGGATGAGGTAGAAACCCAGGCGGCGTGAGCCCCTCGGTTCACAGCCACAGCGTCGGCGATCGCAAACAACTGGACTAACTCAGGGAGCCAAAGAGCAAGGCGCTCTTTGGCGGTGGGGAAAGGAGTTGCTTGTTTTCAAGTGTTCAATGAGTCAGTGTTATTTGAGCACCTTTTTTTTTTTTTTTTTTTTTTGATACAGAGTCTCACTTTGTCACACAGGCTGGAGTGCAGTGGCACGATCTTGGCTCACTGCAGCCTCCATCTCCCAGGGCCAATTGATTCTCCTGCCTCCGCTTCCCCAGTAGCAGGGATTACAGGCATGTGCCACCATGCTCAGCTAATTTTTGCATTTTTAGTAGAGACAGGGTTTCTCCGTGTTGGCCAGGCTGGTTTTGAACTCCTGACCTCAAATGATCCGCCTGCCTTGGCCTCCCAAAGTGCTGGGATTATAGGTGTGAGCCACTTTGCCCGGCCAAGCACCTTTGTTTTTGAGAATGCCAGTTCTATGTCTTTGCTACTCTATCCTGCCCAAGGTTATTGTGGAAGAATGGTGAGACGCAGTACCTAGTGAGACATATTGGTAGAGTCTCTTCTGTGAAGTGAATTCCTCATTCTCCTGATCTTAGTAACCACCAAGGACACCTCTCTACCTCTGCAGAGCCAGGACACACAGTGACTTTATTTGTACATCCAGTGCACACAGTAACCTCATAATATGAGCACATATGATTATTGACCCATTCTCAGAAAAAAGCAAGGGTCCAGAAAGAGGCAACCATCCCAGCTGCGGCAACTAATAGATAGTACCTGGTGATTGTCCCAAGGCCTCTTCCCTCCTGCTGTCTGTTAACTGTGAGAGAGAGGACTGGCAAATAGCTCAACTTGCCCAGGAGACTTTTCCCTCATGGTGTATCACTTTGAATGTCTCTCTTTCCTATTTTTCAGAAGTGCTTCAATATTTCCCACCCTCTGATAAGAATTCATTCTTGTTTTTGACTTGATGATATGAAGGAGACACTAATTGCAACATGAACAAAAGAAATTAGCTTAGAAAAATTCCTAAGCAATGGTTTGCTCATCACTCTGTCTCTATTGGTTCATCGACTTATTATGAAAATAACACATGCTTTCAGTTGGAAATTCAAAATAGCACAAAAAGGTATCCAAAGCAAAGTAAGTCTTCTTCTCAGCCCAGTCCCTGAGTCCCACTCCCTGTAGATAAACGCCATCGACCATTTCTCATATGCTCTTCCAGAAATTTTCCATGTAAATATACGTCTATAGACATTATTAAGTACCTTTCTTTTGTTTAACTTAATGATATATCTTGAAGATTTGTCCATATCAGCATATGTAGATACACTAAATACAACAATTTATTATATGACCACATCAAAATTTGTTTAGTCAGTCTCCTGTTGATGGACATATGGCTGTTTCCTGGCTTTTGTTTTTCAGACCTCTCTGTGTACAGGTGAAATTAAAATCAGAGGACAAATTGCTACATTTGCTAGCAGGCCTTACAAGATTGGCATGTTTTAAATTTTAATAATATTGTCCAATTGCATTTCAAAGAGGGTGTAACAATTTTTACAACACCTGCATTGCATATGTACCTGTATCCTTACACCCCTAGCCACTGTGAATTTCCGTATTTTATAACTATTGCCACTATGATAGGCAAAAAATTGTTTCATGGTCTGAATTTGTATTTCTTTAATTATGAATGAGACTGAGATATTTTAATATGCGTAAAAATGTATTTTTCTTTCTGAACTCCTCTTTCATACATATCCTTTGCCTATTTTGTGAGGTCATTTATATTTTTCTTGTTGGCCTATACTAATGTTTTATACATATATAGAGGGGATATAGTACATATACAGTGCAGATGTGGTAAAAATTTGTACAACCTCTCTGGAATGCAGTTGGAGATGAAGATGCATGTGTACAAAGTACAGGGTTTTCTTGTTTTGTTTTGTTTTTTGAGACTGAGTCTCTCCCTGTCGCCCAGGCTGGAATGTAATGGTGTGACCTTGGCTCACTGCAACCTCTGCATCCCGGGTTCAAGGGATTCTCCTGCCTCAGCCTCCTAAGTAGCTAGGAATACAGGCGCACGCCAGCACACCAGCTAATTTTTTGTATCTTTAGTAGAGACGGGGTTTCACCATGGTGGCCAGGCTGGTCTTGAACTCCTGATCTCATGATCCGCCCGCCTCGGCCTCCCAAAGTGCTGGGATTACGGGCGTGAGCTGCCGCATCCGGCCCAGGTTTTTTTTTTAATTTTGCCTTTTGCCTTTAATTACTGTAGTTTTCCATGAAATAAATTTAATATTTTATAGTAAAATTTATTGCTCTACCTCCTTTATTGCTAATATCTGCTTAGATTTTTTTTCTTACTTAGGAAAATATTACCCACTCCAAGATTACTTTAAATTTTCTTCATGATGCCTTATAAAATTTTTTTAGTTTTGCTTTTTATCTTTAGAGCTTTGGTAGAAATTCAAAATAGCAAATCTAGAATGTACTTTAATGCAAGGAGTGAGACACAGAACTATTTTTTTTCTAAATGACTGAAAACGTCTCAATGCCATCTATTAAATAATCCATCTTTCTTCACTGATTTAAAATGCCACCTTTATCATAGACTGGATTCCCTGAAGTGTTTGGACCTACTTAAGATTCTATTCTGTTCCATTGATCTGCCTGCCTATGCAGATATTTTAGAAATGAATACATTTATGTAGCTATAATTTAGCCTATGTGGGTCTATTTCCAGGCTTTAGTTAATTGTATTCTACAGTATGTTTATTTGTCATTGTGTACCTCGGTTTTGACTTCCTCAAGGGTAAAAATTATGGATTCTCTTCCCTCTGTAATTCCCTAAAACATGAGTCTCTGCCAAGTTTGTCATTTTGAAAACTGAAATCAAGCCATGTCCTTAGGCAGAACCAGTGGTGGTCTGAGTGGTTTCAGTGAGTGAAGCCCCTGCTCAAAATATTCAACCTCTAAATGTAATATATAAAACACTGTGACAGTTTATTCCTTTCGTTAAAGGGACGCTCCTTTAAACACTAATACCGTGCATGCTGCTGAGAATAATTGTTCATTATAATTTCTCCTTGGTCTAAGTTTTGGTAGAAAGGCAACATGAACTAACATTTAAGGTCCATGAAATGTGTTAAGAATAGCACATATTCCGTCTCATTTAATATCACAAAACAGCCTACAAAATTGGTGTTATTTATCTCACTTTACATAGGAGGAAACAGGCTTAGAAAAGTAAGTTAATTTGCCAGCTTAGTTAGTGGCAAACCCTGGATTCAAACCCAAGCCTGTTCGATGCCAAATATCACATTCCTACTCTCCTATGCCGCCTCCCAGAGACAGAGATCCTCAAACAATAATGGAAAATAATCTTCACTTCTTGTCCCAGCCATGCAGTGGCTCCCTTGATCACTGAATGGAGAACAATTTCTAGCTACAACCATGCTTAGCAGGAAACAGGACCATGATAAATGATTGACATCTGCCACAGAAGTCAAAGGCAGCAGTGGCTATACAGGACACTGTATTTGTCATTATTGCACTACAACACAACACAGGAGACCAAAGGAACATTTTCCCAACTTCACAGTTATGTTCAGGAACAACCCTAAAAATCAGTTGATCGATAAAATTTCACTCCCTAAATAAAGCCTAAGAAGCCAAAGTTAAAAATAAATTTTGAGAAATATAGTAAATAAAAGAGAGATTTATATGTGATATCCAAAGTATACCAGTCCTGCCAACTTGACAGGCTAAATATTCAGCCTCTTTTTGTAATAATCAACTTGGCTCTAGTAGTCATAGGAAGTTACTACCTCAAACCAATTTTCCCCAGGCAGAAGAGAGAGAAGAAACTCTATTCCATTCTAGAGCTATGTATCAAATGAAGTACCTGAACTTTGAATCAAGCTCTACGCAGATCCACCAGTTCTAAGAACTGGGCCCCTGGGTTTGTGTGATACTCAGTAGTTCCACATCTGGCCTCTCTGGAGTAGCCATTGAGTGGCCACCCAACTCCTACTCCTCTTTCCTCTCCCTCAGGGATCTGCAAATTTATCTAAGTTTTCTGCCCACTTCCACAAATTCATATGGCTCAGGTAAGATTAGCCCCACTCCAGCCCCTCATAGTCCAGGTGTAATCCCATGCCCTTTGTCAATAACTGGATTAGCAATGGGACTAATTGCTATTTGCCATTAGCAATGTGATTGGATTCAGAGTCCTGAATTGTGGTAGAGGTCTGCTCTAAGCATAAAAAAAAGTTTTACCTTGCTCCTCTGGAACAGCACCAGGGAACAACCATTACTTTTCATCTGGCCAGTCTCCTTTGCTGATATAAGATCCGGAACTGCTGCAGCACATTCCCACCAGCCACCATTCAGAGGAGGGCAGAGTCAAAAGGATCACAAGGAATTGAACCTGTAGCCATCATGGACTCAGCCATGATGCCCACAATAGCGCTGAACTTGCAGTTACTGAAGCAGTAAACAAGTTTAAATTGTAAGCCATTACTGGCCTCCAAATGTTTCCTAACTGACCTCACTCATACACCTCCACTATGAATCTCTGAGGTACTCTCTAAACTCTAGACAAGGGCTCCCAAAGTATTTGCCTACTTAAAGGACACTGTAGGAGTTAAGAGCATAGGCTCAAACCCTGGCCCTGCCACTGATTTTCTGTGTGACCTTGGCAAGTTACCTAAACTGTCCAAGCATGTTCCTTCATCTATAAACTGGAGATAATCGTCACATCTAAGAGTTGTGTGAGGATTGAGGCAACTCATGCCTAGTGCTTAAAATCCAGCCTGGCATGTAAATACTGTCCTGATTATGTGTACTTTCGTCAATGCCTGTGCCTGATTTTCCTCTCCCCAACAGTGACCCCAATTCCACACTTCCTGTGTTTATTTGGATTTTATAATCTTCAATCCTGAATCTAATCCATGTGTCTAGCCACTGCACCCAAGTCATTCCAAGTTCGGACCCTTTTCAAGTACAGCTATATTCATTGACATTTTCCCGTCTAGGAATCCCAGGGATGATATAGCTAATGTAAGCCTGTACCCTAATGAAATACAAGTCTAATGCTAATTGGTATCTTGTAGATTTTAATCCATTCTTCTTACCACAGCACTACTTCTTAAGAGCCTGTTTCTGTGGGTTAATGTATACAGAAAAATACGGTACTAATTACTATGGACATTTAGCTTTGTTTCTCTATGAACAATTATCCTACTACAGTAACCCTCCCTTCCCATTTGGCCCCAGCTGTTTAATTCATTAGGTATTACTTTTTTTTTTTTTTTTCCTATGAGCTGTTAGGCTGAATTTCAAAAAGAGACTGATCAGGAAAATTTTCAAATACATCTTTCAAATTTCTTTTCTCCTTGAAAATAAAGTTGAACAGTCCTCATACCATTAAATGTGGCAATTCAGTTGACGGGACAGCTCCTTTCAAAGTGCATACCTATGGCTATTTTCCATACCCTGGCATTGCTTGTCTGCTGCTTTCCAAGCAGGTTCACCAGGAACTGTGCCATGCTCAGCTATCATTTTCTGCTTATAAGAAGTAAGTGAGAGATCAGGATCGTTAGAGTCTGTAAACACTTGAATGCTTAGAAATGCAAAGCAATGAGCTATTCTGCAGGGCTGCCAGAGAAAAGGAGTGGAAAGAGGAGAAAAGAAATTATGTCTTCAGACTCCAATGCGTACCATTCTCACATGATGTCTAAACAGACAGGAATTCAAGTTGAGCGTTTGAATGTTAAAAGAGAATAGACAATGCAATGATCTTCCCAGCAAAATAGCAGCCATACATGGGCTGCCTTGAATGGAAAAGGGAAGAAAAAAGGAGAAACAAAGATAAAATGAGACACAGGGAAAACAGGCATACAGATTGTCCAGGAAGGGTACAGTTAAGATTTCTGTAGTTTTACATGAAAAAAAAAATTCTGTTTCATAAAAGGAATTCAAATGAGAGAAATAAGAAAAAGTCAGGCTGAACTTCAGAATCCATGATACCCTGATCTATAATATTTCCTCATCTAATTCCAACAATTTCAGGTAGCCAATTCAATGCTGTGTAATTCTGAAAATGATTCATGGGACCAAAAAAGCAACTTTGGAGCATCTAAACTACCTGGTTCAAATTTGAGAACATTATTTTCATATTTTTCTTTAGCTGCTCCACAGTTCCATGGCAAATTAATAGAAAGCCAGTGAGATTTCAATGTGTGGGCTGTATTGTTCTTTTTTATGCGATGTGTATAACCTTTCCCCATCTGCACAGATACACAGAGGCCTATTTTGGTGTGCTTTTTTAATTTGCTGCTTGTCCATGAAATGCAATGTTCCTGAGAAACTAGAGCGGTAAAGAACTTAGAACAGGTGATAAAACCTCATTTTTGCACTGTCACTCAATGACATTGCACTGCTGAAGCCGCACAGCAGTTAATGGCCATGGAAATTATACTGGTCCACAAGCCCTTGGACAGGAAGAAAACTAACTGTGAGAACTTGAATTTTACTGAAAATCAAAAGCCAACTGACAGGACGCTCTCTGAACTCACCCAGGAAATGCTTAGTCATCAGATATAACAATACTCAGAAAAAGATTCAGAAGCAAAACCTAGGGAATTGTTTAAAAAAAAAAATTCTCACACACGTCAGGATGAATTTTATAAAGTATATGAAAGGCTGTGCAAAAAAGTAGATTGCAAGGCAGTATACCACAGCCATCAAATATCTAGTACATTTTTAAGTTCAATAAATTCCTAGTCACTGTAATTGTGCCTAAAAACACAGAGTAAAAAAAAAATGGCAAAATAAGCAAAGAATTATTTTAAAGCTAGAGGATAATATTTTTCTAAAAAAACATAAGGGAGTTATGGGTGTACACAAAGACACATATAATGAGGATGGCTATGTAAAACAGTAATTCCTCACTCATGAGTTCCACAAGTGTCTACTGAATACCTACTCTGGGCTAGTATCTGTTCTATGTGCTGTGGTTATAGCTACAAACAAGACAACATCTCTACTCCTATCGAATTTATTTTCTCATTAGGAAGAAATGCAAAATAAATATATATATGAAGCTACATTCAATAATTGTAAATGATCAAGATCAGCCACTTTGCTTAGTATTTCTTAAAATTTATTTTGTATAGACAATTCCACTGGAATTTACTCTACATTCATACCAGCTATCGTGAGGAAGAGAGGTAGAAATCTATCTGGGCCACAGCACCTTTTCCCACACTTAAATAACATGGCTCCTTTAAGTAGAGTATGATTATATTTATGAAACGTACATTTTTTAATTTTTTCATATTTATGGGTTGTTACACAGAAACCATCTTAGTGCCAATAAGTATTTAACATTTACCACTTTCAGCAGGTGAAAGAATTTCTATCTCAGCTTCATTATAATTATGCTAAACACTTTCAGGTTTCCATTTTCCTTTTTTTTTAAATAATGAAATAAAATGCAATCAAATATTCAAATCATTGGACAAACAACCATACAAAAGTCAATACTGCTGAAAATGAATCGTCACCTAGCCCACAGCTCCACTATGCAACAGCTTGAATTTTTGTCAGCTGACATAAGAGAGTCCAAATTTAATAGTGAAAGGCAATTAAGAAGGGTGAGAGTATAATGTAATAAAAAGGTGGATTGTATGGAAATTGAATTTTTAAAAGTCTCTGTACCAAGAGAGGCACAGGTGCTGGACTGCCATAATTGACAATGGAGCCTTCTATTGGAAGGCTATCCTGGGACCCAGTATTCCAGCTCTTGTCTCTCTAGGGTGGGAAAGACAGGGTTCTGAGCCCTGACTGAAGTCCAAAGAAGCCGTTAACATAATGTCTGCCATACTACAGTTCCACCCAAAGAGTACGGAAGACCAGATGCATTAATCTACTCAGAGGCAAAGGATGGGAGAACAGGGAACTAGGTGATTGGTGCCATTTCTCTGTCTGTCTCTTTTTTTTATACATCCACACGTAATCCAGTGAAATCACATATGTGGGCTAGTAAGATCTGCAATAGGCTACACATTTTTGAAGATGGCCCACAGAAGTTTCTCTGTACCAATGCCCTTCAGTGACTCCTTTACTCTCTCTGAGGTTCAGTTTTCTCACCTCTATAATGAGGAAGGACGATTACATGAAATAACCTTTGTAAAAATAACATACTATTGGCCGGGTGCAGTAGCTCACGCCTGTAATCCCAGCACTTTGGGAGGCCAAAGCGGGCAGTTCACCAGAGGTCAGGAGTTCGAGACCAGCCTCACTAACATGGTAAAACCCCGTCTCTACTCAAAATACAAAAATTAGCCAGGCGTGGTGGTGCATACCTATAATCCCAGCTACTCGGGAGGCTGAGGCAGGAGAATCACTTGAACCCGGGAGGCAGAGGTTGCAGTGAGCCGAGATCGTGCCACTGCACTCCAGCCTGGGTGACAGAGCAAGACTCTGTCTCAAAAAATAAATAAATAACATACTATTAAGCAGGGACATAGAAAAATCTTCAATGTGAGTTACTGAATAAACAAGCTAGTGTCATTCTTAATAGGTAACTAAAACTGCGTATACTGGTGAGAGTAAAAATTCATCTAACCCTAGATACATCTATCACCTATCGCTAAGATAACAGAATAATCAAGAATAATTTTTATTTTTATTTTATTATTATTATATTTTTTTGAGATGGAGTCTCACTTTGTCGCCCAGGCTGGAGTGCAGTGGCGCGGTCTCAGCTCACTACAACCTCTGCCGCCTGGGTTCAAGCAATTCTCCTGCCTCAGCCTCCTGAGTAGCTGGGATTACAGGCACCTTCCACTGCTCCTGGCTAATTTTTGTAGTTTTTTTTTTTTTTTTTTTTTTTTCAGTAGAGACAGTGGCCAGACTGTCTGTACAGTGACCAGTACAGGCAGTGGCCTGAGGTGGCCAAGATCAGCCCACCTCAGCCTCCCAAAGTGCTGGGATTACAGGCATGAGCCACCACGCCCAGCTAAGATTAATTTTTAAAACAACATTGGAACTTAAGACAATTTTATTTAAAATACAGCAAAATGGATATGATTGGTGAATACAGAACTTTAAAATGTCCTATGAAATACAGAATTTAATTTTGGATAAGTCAGTTGCCTGTCTTCCTTTTCATATTTTTAGTTAAGCTTTTGAAAACATTAGTTTTTCATATTATTTATGTCTATTTTCCTAATGAAATTTGTTTATCAGAGAAATTACTGCTTATGAATCCATGGTTTTGTCTATTTATGTCTTTCAATCAGCTATAGAATAACATTTTAAGTGTATAAAATACAAATTTTCTATTCTAGAAATAAATGCACAATACTTTGTTTTCTAAACCCTTTAATATTTTTCTAATCCTGTTAGACTTTTAGTAATGTTTTTAATTCCACAGTTTTCAAAGGATTTTTTGTGAGACACTTTTCTATTTTCTTTAGAGTGGGTTTAAAACACTTCAGAATATAGCAATCATTGCTGCATTGCATGTATATCACATTCTCACAATACCATGAATAATATATAAGAATCAATGATGATTTTATATCTGATTGCTGGCTCAATGCCATGTTACAAAAAAGAATTGCTTTGTGTGTATTCTAATATTCTCCTATTTTCTCTTGAGAAAATTAGTAGTTTTGCAGTCTTTTATCCTCAATCAGTTTTACTTGGAATTCTTCAGAAATACAAGAGATTAAGGGTCATATACGGAAACATATTCAACCTCAAACATATTGAAATGTATTCAATATTCAACCTAACTAGAGTCTGTTGGACTCTATTCTGTTCTCAACTCAAGAAAAAAAAAGTTAGACTTAACTAGGCAAGATTAATTTATTAGAGGTCCAATGTTTAATTTTAAGACATGGAATTATGTTTTAATATGTAATATTAATTACTCAAGGCTTACTATATAATTTATTAACATAATTCCTAGATTTTCTAATGTTAAAAAACTCAGAAGATTAATATATACAAGGAATGCCACACACTGACCATCTCCAGAACATAATCTGCCACTTTCACTCACAGCATGTCTGAGAACCAACACTGTGTAATGCCCTCACAAGTTTCCCTAAGGAAGTTACATTGGGCAAGTTATGCTGCAATAACAAGCAACCCTCGAGATCTCAGCAGTTTGAAACCACAGCAGTTTTATATCTGCCTCATGCTATGTGTCCATCATAGGCCTCTGCTCTCACAGCCTCTCAGGGATCCAACTTGCTTGTGTTTAAACAATCACTGAAGAAGTGGGAGAAAGCTTAATTAATCAAGCAGTAAAGAGTCTTCCTAAAAGTCATAAACATCACTTGTTCTCACACTTCATTGGTCAAAGCAAGCCACATGGCATCACCCAAGTTCATGTGGGCAGGGAAGTACAATTCCTCCGTGAGCTAGGGATAACCAGATATATTTGGTGGACAGCTCCTACTCACCTTGTGATAAAGGAAAGAAGTAAGAAAGCAGAAGTTTTAACAATCGGCCCAGAAAATACCCAAAGTCTTTTCAATGACATTCATCCTATTTCTTTATAATGCACACCAGGAAGAAGAGGATGAACAGAGTAAAAGTTACCATTTCCCTCATAGTATATTCTACCTGTAAATGTAGGGTTTAAATGATCTTTTCTTCCTCTTTTGTTTCCATGATAAAGCTAAATGTGAACTTGGCTGGATTCAGAACTTGCGTCTATTAGATTAAAATGGATAGTTCCTAATGTTTATTTACAGTCTATGCCAGATGCTATTCATAGTGGCTTATGTGGATCATCACATATAATCTTCATAGCAACTTACATGAAGTAGGTAGATACTATCACCATCCTCGTGTTCCAGATAAAGAAGGTTAAGAAGAACACAGAACTCGTTAGTGAAAGAGGGTAGATTCCATTTCAGGCATGGACTCCACACCACACACTCTCAATCAACATACAACAGTGAGTAACACTGATAAAATATTTTATTATATAATGCCACTTGAGCTTGTATCTTTGTATAAATGCCAGTGTACGACTGTAATTCCGAGAAAGAGTTTCCAAAACAGTATTCCAGCATGTTCCTCCATTTTTGAAAAAAACCGCTGGCTTTTCACTTCATAAGATTTCATACATTAAATGGAAAAATATGTAAAGAGTGTTTTGGAGCTATTTTATAAACTTTACATGACTCTAAACTAATTAGAGAATTTAAAATTTTACCAAAAACGAGTAAGACTGAAAATTTATGAAGAACACACTGGGATCATGACAATATTCACAGATGCCACATTTATAACTCTGGAATGGCATCCATGGAGACCATGTAAATGTCACCCCCTAAAGTTGTGCAGTGCACAATGTGTATGACCATATGCTGAGGCCCTAATGTTTTTATGGGAAATCTGCCATCACTTGTATTTCTATTCTGATGCTGAGTCTTAATATGCAGTCTTACTTTGATTTTTGTTTCCCAAATAGCTTCAAAATTGTAATACCTTAAGTTCTTCTCCAAATTGGAAGTAGAGAATGTTGTCATACTGACATGAGAAGCATTATAAAAACCAGTCTTAAATGAGCCATCTCATGTTGTCATTTCATTTGCTTAAAGAGTCAGTGTCTGGGTCTACATATGTAAATTATATTAACTGAACTGGAGAGCTGCAAAAATAGTTGAATTTAAGGAACTATATTTACTCAAGCATATAATAACAGCTAATCAATTCAACTATTTTAAAACGTCTTAGAAATATGTCACATACAGACATTATATGTACTGGTATCTATGGGGGGAAATCATAATTATTTTCAAGCATGCAAGAAAGAAACACTACTTCAGTTTATCAACTTCAACAGCTTCCTATTAGAATCTCAGGAAAACTGCTCGATTATTCCTCTTCTTCCACAGGACCCCATTACAGGCCCCACGGGATCTCTCCACTATTGCTATTGTGTCTTAATTTTGTTTTAATCCTATTTTCAATCCTCCAATCCACTCCAATGTCAGCAAAGTGCTGTTGATCTTGAGAAGTCCTTTGTTGTAAATCCCACTGAGCCACTTTCTGCAGAGAAGCTCCCCCTTTGAAGACTTGCCCCAGTGGTCTTTGTGTTGGCTGCTTCACTGAAGGAAAAAGCAGCATGCCTTAGGTAAAAATTTTTTGCAGTGCCTTTTCAAACAGTATTTGTACACTTTAGTAGTCATCACAGAGTCTCTGCTGACCTAAAAGATTTGCAGCTTTATAAAAGCTGTGGCAGATGCTAAGAATATTCATCAACCCTTTTCTTCTTTTGAAACAGGCCCAAAAATGAATGACTTGTGGGCAAATATTGATTTCTTTTCCCAAAGATCAACTATTAAGCATGAAAGAACACCTAAACACAAAATCGAAAGGTTTACCTTGTCAAACTAGGACAGAACGTAGACCACCGCACTTTCCTACCTGAGGACACAAGGGCCAGGGAACAAATCAGAAATGTAATGTCTGTGGCACTTCTCTGTGAGTCTTCTCTGGCAACCGAAGCTGAATAAATGAAGCAACATAAAGCTGTGCTTCTCCAACTTAAACTTTAATGTGAGTATCAATTACCAGGGATCTTATTAAAATACAGATTCTGATTCCCTGGGTCTGGGATAGAGTCTGGTATTCTGCATTTCTGACTAGCCTCCAGGTGATACTGATTCTGCTCATCTAGGGACCTCGCTTTGAGTAGCAAGTGTTTAGGCCACTTACTAGCAGGAACTAAGCACAGTATCCTACAACAGCAAATGTCTTTCCAACAAGAAAGACGAGAGCAAATGCTGATGCCACATCTGCACTGCCTCAGAAAATAAAGAAGGGATGAGGAGCCCCCGAGTGGCACTCTGTGCCCATAAAAAGATCACATCCACATGAGAAGGATTGAGTGAGGCAATGGGGTTGGTGCAAGGAGCTCAGCAATCCCTCTGCTATGCACTGGGGGCACTTGGTTTGGTTTTCACATTACCAGCCTCAGCGAGGTGGAACAGAGGATTACAAAGGGATAATCTAAATGGCAATTGCAAGTGTATTGCTGTGGTCACCAGCACCTTTTCCATCAGTATTTTCCATTTCTCCAAAGCCATATGGAGCAGTTGATCTATTTGGGTGATTTCTTAAGAGAAAATGAACAATACATGGTCCCGAGTGGTAAGTGTAGTGAAAGTTAAAAATGATATTTTCTTTTATCCCAAAGACTCCAAAATGTTCACAGATCTTACTATTATCATAAAAATAAATGACAAAAGGGATTTAGTTCAGTTAGAAAGCATCCTGCTATTGGCCATGTAGATAAACTTAAAATAAAACACACTGTCTTCTAGCCTTCAGCAGCTTCTAGCCTTCAGCAGCTTCTAGCCTTGAGCATTGAGATAAAAGTCCAATATGAAGTTTCCTAATGATTTGAAGAGCTAGCTGTTTTAACAGAGATCATGGGAAAAGAGTTAGAAAAAGAGAGATTTCAAATCCAAAACTAAAAAAAAATAGTAGATGTATGCTTCAATAGATTTGTTCCTTTAGCATATGCTCCATTGATCTTTCTGAAATTCTTCCAGGTGAGTTACCTGCTCTGTCCAAAAGGGATCACCATCAAAAAAATAAGAAGTCTTTTTAGACTAACAATTCCCTTTAGTTGAGGCAGAGACTTTGGCCAAATTTACAAAGAAACATTTTTCACTGACTTGCCAAAGATATATATCAAGAGTATACGTAAAAATGAAAAAGAAATTAGACACAATTGTTTAAAAGCCAGTTATGAGAGCACCAAATCTACAGTGGTAGAGATTTGAGTTGGAGCCTGATTAGAAGGAGAACAGCCAAACAGAACCTGGCCTGACTTATAATATTACACCCAAAGCAGGGACAATCTAATTGGTGGGCTGAGTAGGTAGCCACCTACATGAAATAAAAGGGTTGTAGCGAATCTTCCTCTATCCCAGTCCAAAAGCATCTTTTGCCTAAAATTCCAAATTAGACACCCTATTCCTATTAATATATCCATGGGAGAAGTAACACCATAAATTCTCTTGAATCCTTAATATATTTCATTGGTTTGTTATTAGAGCCTCTTTGCATTATCTAGCCGTAGACACATTTTTTAATAGGTTTTGGGTGGAACGACCATCCTGGCTAACAAGGTGAAACCCCGTCTCTACTAAAAATACAAAAAAAAATTATCTGGGCGTGGTGGCGGGCACCTGTAGTCCCAGCTACTCGGGAGGCTGAGGCAGGAGAATGGTGTGAACCCAGGAGGTGGAGCTTGCAGTGAGCTGAGATTATGCCACTGCACTCCAGCCTGGGCAACAGAGGGAGACTCCGTCTCAAAAAAAAAAAAAAAAGTTTTGAGGGGAACAAGTGGTGTTTTGTTATATGAATAAGGTCTTTAGTGGGGATTTCTGAGATTTTGGTGCACCCACCACCCCAGCAGTGTACACTGTACCCAATGTGTAGTCTTTTATCCCTTGCCACCCCCCACCCATTCCCCCAAGTCCCCAAAGTCCAATGTATCATTCTTATGCCTTTGAGCTCCCACATAGGAGTGAGAACATGCAATGTCTCGTTTTCCATTCCTGAGTTACTTCATTTAGAATAATAGTTTCCAATTACCTCCAGGTTGTTGTGAATACCATTGTTTCATTCCACTGTATGTCTGAGTAGTATTCCATGGTATTATGTATCACATTTTCTTTATCCACTCATTGATTGGTGGGCATTTGGGCTTGTTCCGTATTTCTGCAATTGCAAATTGTGCTGCTATAAACATGCGTGTGCAAGTATCTTTTCTGTATAATGACTTCTTTTCCTTTGGGTAGATACCTAGCAGTGGGATTCACTGGATCAAACGGTAGGTCTACTTTTAGTTTTTTAGGAATTGCCACACTGTTTTTCATAGTGGTTGTATTAGTTTACATTCCCACCAACACTGTAACATTGTTTCCTTTTCACTGCATCCTCACCAACATCTATTAATTTTTGATTATGACTATCCTTGCAGGAGTGAGGTGGTATCACATTGCGGTTTTGATTTGCATTTCCCTGATAATTAGTGATGTTGAGTATTTTCTCATATGTTTGTTGGCCATTTGTATATTTTCTTTTGAGAATTGCCTATTCATGTCTTCTGCCCTCTTTTTGATGGGATTGTTTGTTTTTTACTTGCTGATTTGTTTGAGTTCCTTGTAGATACTGGATATTAGTCTTTTGTCAGATGTATAGATTGTGAAGATTTTCTCTCACTCTGTGTCTTGTCTGTTAAATCTGCTAATTGTTTCTTTTGCTGTGCAGAACCTTTTTAGTTTAATTAAGTCCCATCTTTTTATCTTTGTTTCTGTTGCATTTGCTTTTGGCTTCTTGGTCATGAAGTCTTTGCCTAAGCCAATGTCTAGAAGGGTTTTTCCGATGTTATCTTCTAGAATCTTTATGGTTTCAGGTCTTAGATTTAAGCCCTTGATCCATCCTGAGTTGATTTTTGTATAAGGTGAGAGATGAACATCCAGTTTTCATTCTTCCACATGTGGCTTGCCAATTATTCCAGCACCATTTGTTGAATAGGAAGGGTGTCCTTTCCTTGCTTTATGTTTTTGTTTACTTTATTGAAGATCAGTTGGCTATACATACTTGGCTTTATTTCTGGGTTCTCTGTTGTGTTCCATTGGTCTCTGTGCCTATTTTCCTGCCAGTACCATGCTGTTTTGGTGACTATGGCCTTATGGTATAGTTTGAACTCAGGTAATGTGATGCCTCCAGATTTGTTCTTTTTGCTTAGTCTTGCTTTGGCTATGCAAGCTCTTTTTCGGATCCATATGAATTTTAGGATTTTTTTTTTTCTAATTCTATGAAGAATGAGAGTGGTATTTTGATGGGAATTGCATTGAATTTGTAGATTGCTTTAGGCAGTGTGGTCATTTCACAAGCTGCTCCTGCTTGCTTTTGGTGTCCATGTGCGTGGAATATCTTTTTCCACCTCTTTACTGTAAGTTTATGTGAGTCCTTATTTGCTAGGTGAATCTCTTGAAGACAGCAGAAACTTGGTTGGTGAATTCTTATTCATTTTGCCATTCTGTATCTTTTAAGTGGAGCATTTAGGCCATTTATATTCAATGTTAGTATTGAGATGTGAGGTACTATTCTATTCATCATGTAATTTGTTGTCTGAATACCTTGGATTTTTTTCATTGTGTTATTGTTATATAGGTCCTGTGAGATTTATGCCTTAAGAAGGTTCTATTTTGGTGTATTTGGAGGATTTGTTTCAAGATTTAGAGCTCCTTTTGGCAGTTCTTGTAGTGCTGGCTTCATAGTGGTGAATTCTCTCTGCATTTGTTTGTCTGGAAAAGACTGTATCTTTCCTTCATTTATGAAGCTTAGTTTCGCTGGATACAACATTCTTGGCTGAAATTGTTTTGTTTAAGGAGGCTAAAATAGGACCCTAATCCCTTCTAGCTTGTAGGGTTTTTGCTGAGAAATCTGCTGTTAATCTGAAGGTTTTCCTTTATAGGTTACCTGATGCTTTTGCCTCACAGCTCTTAAGATTCTTTTCTGTTTTGACTTTAGATAACCTGATGACTATGTGCCTAGGCAATGATCTTTTTGCAATGAATTTCCCAGGTGTTCTTTGAGCTTCTTGTGTTTGGATGTCTAGATCTCTAGCAAGGCAGGGGAACTTTCCTTGATTATTCCCTCAAATATGTTTTCTAAACTTTTAGATTTCTCTTCTTCCTTAGGAACACCAATTATTCTTAGGTTTGCATGTTTAACATAGTCCCAAACTTCTTGAAGGCTTTGTTCATTTTTTTAAATTCTTTTTTCTTTGTCATTGATGGATTAGGTTAATTCAAAAGCCTTGTCTTCAAGCTCTGAGGTTCTTTCTTCTGCTTGTTCAATTCTATTGCTGAGACTTTCTAGTGCACTTTGCATTTCTCTAAGTGTGTCCTTTTTTTTCCAGAAGTTGTGATTTTTTTTAATGCTATCTTTTTCACTGAAGAATTTTTCATTCATATCCTGTATCATGTTTTTCATTTCTTTAAGTTGGACTTTACCTTTCTCTGGTGCCTCCTTGATTAGCTTAACAACTGGCCTAAATTCTTTTTCTGGCAATTTGGAGATTTTGTCTTGGTGTGGATCCACTGCTGGTTCGCTGGCATGATCTTTTAAGGGTGTTAAAGAAACTTGTTTTGTCATATTACCAGGATTGTTTTTCTGGTTTCTTCTCATTTGGGGAGACTATGTCAGAGGGAAGATCTGCAGCTCAAAGGCTGCTGTTCAGATTCTTTTATCCCATGAGGTGCTCCCTTCATGTGGTGTTCTCCCCATTCCCCTAGGAATGAGGCTTCCTAAGAGGCAAACTGCAGTGATTGTTTTTGCTCTTCTGGGTCTAGCCATCTAGTGGAGCTATCAGGCTCCAGGCTGAGAAGTTTCTGCAAAGAGTCCTGTGATGTGATCCATCTTCACATCTTGTAGCCCTGGATACCAGCACCTGCTCTGGTGGAGGTAGCAGGGGAGTGAAGTGGACTCTGTGAGGGTTCTTGGTTGTGTTTTTGTTTCTGCACTGGTTTTGTTTCAGTTGGCCTCCAGCCAGGAGGTGGCGCTTTCAAGAGCACATCAGCTGTGGTACTATAGGTAGGATGGAAACTTGCCCTAGGGACACCTGGTTAAGTATTCAGATTTCTCACGCAGTGGGCAGTGTCATGGAGCTCCCAAGAGACCTTTGTCTTTGGCTACCAGGGCAAGTAGAGAAAGACCACCAGGTTGGGGCAGAGATAGGTGTGTCTGAGCTCAGCCTCTCCTCGGGCAGGGCTTGCTGTGGCTGCTGTGGAGGATGAAGGTGTAGTTCCCATTCCAATGGAATTATATTCCCAGGGAGATTATGGCTGCCTCTGCTGAGTCACACAAGTTGCCAGGGAAGTTGGGGAAAGCCAGCAGTCACAGGTCTTACCCAGCTCCCATACAGCCTGCAATTCTAAAGACCGGTCTCACTCCCACCATGCCCCCCACAACAGCACTGAATCTATTTCCAGGTGCCTGGTGGCCAGGGCTGAGAACTTGCCTCAGAATACGAGCCTCTCCACTAAGAAAGCAAGCTGACTCACAGGTTTTCGGCATCTCAAGGAGCCCACAGTGGCGATCCAGTTCCTTCAAAGGGTCTGTAGATTCTTTCGGCTTTCCTAACGTGTTCCTGCAGTAGTTCTTGGAGCAAAAGTTCACGATGTGAGTTTCCACACGTGCTCTGTCCATCTGAGTGGGAGCTGCAAGCTAGTCCAACTGCCTATCCGCCATCTTAATCCTTACTCTAATAAGTATTTCTGTTATGAAAAAAGTAAGGAGAGGAGCAAAAGAAAGTCCAGAGTCAATGCAGGGCTGATTAGCAATCCATCTAGGGGTGATTATAAGAGTACTCAGATATCTGGTGCTTGAATACAGAATCAGACCTTTACCAAAGGCAATATTCTTTAAATTTTTGCCTACAATGGCAATCACAGCAATCACAGAACATGAGCAACAGGCCACAGCTGGTGCCCCATACCTCAAGCTAAACCAAGCTAAATACATATAGTGGCTCTTTTAAATTAGAAATACAATAACTGAGATTAATTGTTTGACACAATTTGGGTAAAACAACCTTATTGGATTTTGTACACTATAGTTGAGGTATTCCAAATAGACAGGAAATAAAGCTCTTCATAACCTGGATTATTTATATTCACTTAGGAGACACGTTTTCTTCCTCTAGCAGGATAGCATTTCTGGTAGTAAACAGCTGCTTCCACCTCCACATAACAAATGGCTTTGACTCACCCCTGTTCAAGTGATCTAGTCAAACTCTGTCAGGAGTAACTTGAAGCAGAAAAGTACACATGTTGCTTTTTATGGAAATGGATAGTAAAAGTGTGAGGGAATGGGTGCCACAGGTAATGCTGTCACATCAAAAAGACTTTGAAGAGATGCCAGAGACAAATTCTCCTGGTCCTCTGCATCTCCTTTTTCTACTTAACTACATTGATCCCCCCTCAGGTGTCCTTGAGGTGACTCTGAACATCCTGATAATGATTTTCAAACCTAATACATTTCTACAATTGTGGAATGAATGCCTCTGTGAAACAGAGAGATGAGCTTGAAAGAAAAGATGAAATTTGCATGTTTCTTTGCAACCAGGGTTTTCTTTCTTTTTTTTTTTTTTTTTTGGAGCTCCAACTTTGTCTTTAATCATCAAAAGTTGCCCCTTGACAAAAGGATGGTATAGGAAAAAGCAGTGATGTATGGTGGGTTTTAGCTGATCACCATTGACAAAGACCCTCTTCATGACCAAACTTTATTCAGGCTTCTCTGAGCCCACTTCTCAATTAGGCCTCAACTTTGGCCTATAAGAACTGCAAATTTCAGCACAGTTTCATCCACCTGACCCCCAGACACACACACACAGACACACACACACACACACACACACACACACACACAAAGAGACTTGAACAAACCCTAGCATAGTTTTTATTCGCTCAAGGCCATTTCCCTAGTATGACAATTGACAATTCCAGCCCTCTTAAAATGCCTTCCTGAGACAGTTCAATGCTGCCAAAAGGCCATTTCCCTAGGATGACAATCCCAGCTCCCCTTAAAATGCCTTCCTGAGACAGTTCACTGCTGCCAAATGAATTTACTGTTTGTTCAGGCCAAAACCTGACTATAAGCCCTGAGTCCCTTTCCTTACAGCATGTACTTTAGAAAACTTGCAATTGTAAATTTTTTCTCTCTTCTTTTAAGATGTACCTTCCACGACCCAGGACTGTCTTTCTCAACAACTTGGAAGCCATCCCTTTGTAATGTAATGATCAAGAAAAATAGGGCCCATGCCTACCTGTCTCCATGGGAAGGTAGGAGCTTAACATTCTTTTCTTTTCTTTGATTTTACTTTCTTTATTTCATTTCTTTTTTATAGTTCTTAATTTTTTTTATTATACTTTAAGTTCTGAGATACATGTGCAGAACGTGCAGGTTATTACATAGGTATACATGTGCCATGGTGGTTTGCTGCACTCATCAACCCGTCATCTACATTAGGTATTTCTCCTAATGCTATCCCTCCCCTTGCCCCCTACCCCCTGACAGGCCCCAGTGTGTAATATTCCCCTCCCTGTGTCCATGTGTTCTTACTGTTTGACTCCTACTTATGAGTGAGAACATGTGGGTTTGGTTTTCTGTTCTTCTGTTAGTTTCCTGAGAATGATGGTTTCCAGCTTCATCCATGTCCTTGGAAAGGACATGAACTCATTCTTTTTTATGGCTGCATAGTATTCCATGGTGTATATGTGCCACATTTTCTTTATCCAGTCTATCATTATTGGGCATTTGGGTTGGTTCCAAGTCTTTGCTATTGTGAATAGTGCTGCAATAAGCATATGTGTGCATTTGTCTTTACAGTAGAATAATTTACATACCCAGTAATGGGATTGCTGGGTCAAATGGTATTTCTGGTTCTAGATCCTTGAGGAATCACCACACTGTCTTCCACAATGGTTGAACTAATTTACACTCCTACCAACAGTGTAAAAGCATTTCTATTTCTCCACATCCTCTCCAGCATCTGTTGTTTCCTGACTTTTTAATGATCGCGATTCTAACTGGTGTGAGATGGTATATCATTGCAGTTTTGATTTGCGTTTCTCTAATGACCAGTGACGATGAGCTTTGTTTCATATGTTTATTGGCCACATAAATGTCTTCTTTTGAAAAGTGTCTGTTCATATCCTTCACCCACTTTTAGATGGGGTTGTTTTATTCTTGTAAATTTGTTTAAGTTCCTTGTAGATTCTGGATATTAGCTCTTTGTCAGATGGATAGATTGCAAAAATTTTCTCCCATTCTGAAGGTTGCCTGTTTACTCTGATGATAGTTTGTTTTGCTGTGCAGAATCTCTTTAGTTTAATTAGATTCCATTTGTCTATTTTGGCTTTTGTTGCCATTGCTTTTAGTGTTTTAGTCATGAAGTCTTTGCCCTTGCCTATGCTCTGAATGGTATTGCCTAGGTTTTCTTCTAGGGTTTTTATGGTTTTAGGTCTTACAGTCTTTAAATCTTTAATCCATCTTGAGTTAATTTTGTATAAGGTGTAAGGAAGGAGCCCAGTTTCAGTTTTCTGCATATGGCTAGCCAGTTTTCCCAACACCATTTATTAAATAAGGAATCCTTTCCTCATTGCTTGTTTTTGTCAAATTTGTCAAAGATAAGATGGTTGTAGATGTGTGGTGTTATTTCTGAGAACTCTGTTCTGTTCCATTGGCCTATATATCTGTTTTGGTAGGAGTACCATGCTGTTTTGGTTACTGTAGCTTTGTAGTATAGTTTGAAGTCAGGTAGCACGATGCCTCGAGCTTTGTTTCTTTTTGCTTAGGATTGTCTTCGCTATGTGGGCTCTTTTTGGGTTCCATATGAAATTTAAAGTGTTTTTTTCTAATTCTGTGAAGAAAGTCAATGGTAGCTTCATGGGGATAGCATGAATCTATAAACTACTTTGGGCAGTATGGCCATTTTCATGATATTGATTCTTCCTATCCATGACTATGGAATGTTTTTCCATTTGTTTGTAACCTCTTTTATTTCCTTGAGCGGTGGTTTGTAGTTCTGCTTGAAGAGGTCCTTCACATCCCTTATAAGTTGTATTCCTAGGTATTTTATTCTCTTTGTAACAATTGTGAATGGGAGTTCACTCATGATTTGGCTCTCTGTATAGGAATGCTTGTGATTTTTGCACACTGATTTTTTTATTTTTATTTTTTTGAGACGGAGTCTCGCTGTCGCCCAGGCTGGAGTGCAGTGGTGCGATCTCGGCTCACTGCAGGCTCCGCCCCCCGGGTTCACGCCATTCTCCTGTCTCAGCCTCCCAAGTAGCCAGGACTACAGGTGCCCACCACCACGCCTGGCTAATTTTTTATATTTTTAGTAAAGACGGGGTTTCACCATGTTAGCCAGGATGGTCTCGATCTCCTGACCTCGTGATCTGCCTGCCTTGGCCTCCCAAAGTGCTGGGATTACAGGCATGAGCCACCGCACCTGGCCGATTTTTTGCACATTAATTTTTTATCCTGAGACTTTGCTAAAGTTGCTTATCAGCTTAAGGAGATTTTGGGCTGAGACAATAGGGTTTTCTAAATATCCAATTATGTCATCTGCAAACAGAGACAATTTGACTTCCTCTCTTCCTATTTGAATGCCCTTTATTTCTTTCTCTTGCCTGATTGCTGTGGCCAGAACTTCCAATATTATGTTGAATAGGACTGGTGAGAGAGGGCATCCTTCTCTTGTGCCAGTTTTCAAAGGGAATGCTTCCAGCTTTTGCTCATTCAATATGATATCAGCTGTGGGTCTGTCATAAATTGCTCTTATTATTTTGAGATATATTCCATTAATACCTAGTTTATTGAGAGTTTTTAGCATGAAGGGGTGTTGAATTTTATCAAAGGCCTTCTCTTCATGTATTAAAGTAATCATGTGGTTTTTGTCATTGGTTCCGTTTATGTGATGGATTATGTTTATTGATTTGCATATGTTAAACCAGCCTTGTACCCCAGGGATGTAGCCAACTTGATCGTGGTGAATAAGCTTTTTAGTGTGCTGCTGGATTTGGTTTGCCAGTATTTTATTGAGAATTTTTGCATCGATATTCATCAGGGATATTGGCCTAACATTTTCTTTATTTGTTGTGTCTCTGCCAGGTTTTGGTATCAGGATGATACTGGCCTCATAAAATGAGTTAGGGAGGAGTCCCTCTTTTTCTACTGTTTGGAATAGTTTCAGAGGGAATGGTACCAGCTCCTCTTTGTACCTCTGATAGAATTCAGCTGTGAATCCGTCTGGTCCTGGGTTTTTTTTGTTTTTTTGTTTTTTTTTTGGTTGAGGCTATCAATTACTGCCTCAATTTCAGAACTTGTTACTGGTCTATTCAGGGATTTGACTTCTTCCTGGTTTAGTCTTGGAAGGGTGTGTGTTTCTTCTAGATTTTCTAGTTTATTTCCCTAGAGGTTTTTATAGCATTCTCTGACAGTAGTTTGTATTTCTGTGGGATCAGTGGTGATATCCCCTTTATCATTTTTTATTGTATCTATTTGATTCTTCTCTCTTTTCTTCATTAGTCTGGCTAGCGGTCTATTTATTTTGTTAATCTTTTCAAAAAAAAAAAAAACAACTCCTGGATTGATTGATTTTTTGAAGGGTTTTTTTCTGTCCCTATCTCCTTCAGTTCTGCTCTGATCTTAGTTATTTCTTGCCTTCTGCTAGCTTTTGAATTTGTTTGCTCTTGCTTCTCTAGTTATTTTAATTGTGATGTTAGCGTGTCAATTTTAGATCTTTCCTGCTTTCTCCTGTGAGTATTTAGTGCTATAAATTTCCCTCTAAACACTCCTTTAGCTGTGTCTCAGAGATTCTGGTATGTTGTGTCTTTGTTCTCATTGGTTTCAAAGAACTTATTTATTTCTGCCTTAATTTTGTTATTTACTCAGTAGTCATTCAGGAGCAGGTTGTTCAGTTTCCATGCAGTTGTGCAGTTTTCAGTGAGTTTCTTAGTCCTGAGTTCTAATTTGATTGCACTGTGGTCTGAGAGACTGTTTGTTATTATTTCCATTCTTTTGTATTTGCTGAGGAGTGTTTTACTTCCAATTATGTTATCCGTTTTAGAATAACTGTGATGTGGTGCTGAGAAGAATGTATATTCTGTTGATTTGGGGTGGGGAGTTCTGTAGATGTCTATTATGTCTGCTTGGTCCAGAGCTGAGTTCAAGTCCTGAATATGCTTGTTAATTTTCTGTGTTGTTGATCTATCTAATACTGACAGTGGGGTGTTAAAGTCTCCCACTATTATTGTGTGGGAGTCTAAGTCTCTTTGTAGGTCTCTAAGAACTTGTTTTATGAATCTGGGTCCCCCAGTATTGGATATATATATTTAAGATAGTTAGCTCTTCTTGTTGCATTGATCCCTTTACCATTATGTAATGCCCTTCTTTGTCTTTTTTTGCTCTTTGTTGGTTTAAAGTCTGTTGTATCAGAGACTAGGATGGCAACCCCTGAATTTTTTTTTTTTTTTTTTTTTTTTTGCTTTCCATTTGCTTGGTAAATCTTCCTCCATCCCTTTATTTTGAGCCTATGTGTGTCTTTGCATGTGAGATGGGTCTCCTGAATACAGCACACTGATGGGTCTTGACTCTTTATCCAATTTGCCATTCTGTGTCTTTTAACTGGGGCATTTAGCCCATTTACATTTAAGGTTAATATTGTTATGTTTAAATTTGATCCTGTCGTTATGATGCTAGCTGGTTGTTTTGCCTGTTAGTTAATTCAGTTTCTTCATAGTATTGATGTTCTTTACAATTTGGTTTGTTTTTGCAGTGGCTGGTACTGGTTGTTCCTTTTCATGTTTAGTGCTTCCTTCAGGAGCTCTTGTAAGGCAGGCCTGGTGGTGACAAAATCCCCAGCATTTTCTTGTCTGTAAAAGATTTTATTTCTTCTTCACTTATGAAGCTTAGTTTGGCTGGATGTGAAATTCTGGGTTGAAAATTCTTTTAAGAATGTTGAATATTGGCCCCCCACTCTCTTCTGGCTTGTAGGGTTTCTGCCGAGAGATCAGCTGTTAGTCTGATGGGCTTCCTTTGTGGGTAACTGGACCTTTCTCTCTGGCTGCCCTTAACATTTTTTCTTTCATTTCAACCTTGGTGAATCTGACAATTATGTGTCTTAGGTTGATCTTCTCAAGTAGTATCTTTGCGGTGTTCTCTGTATTTCCTGAATTTGAATGTTGGCCTGTCTTGCTAGGTTGGGGAAGTTCTCCTGGATAATATCCTGAAGTATGTTTTCCAACTTGGTTCCATTCTCCCCAGCACTTACAGGTACACCAATCAAACGTAGGTTTGGTCATTTCACATAGTCCCATATTTCTTGGAGGCTTTGTTTGTTCCTTTTCTTTCTTTTTTCTCTAATCATGTCTTCACATTTTATTTCAGTAAGTTGATCTTCAATCTCTGATAGCCTTTCTTCTGCTCAATCAATTTGGCTGTTGATACTTGTGTATGCTTCACGAAGTTCTTGTACTGTGTTTTTCAGCTCCATCAGGTCATTTATGTTCTTCTCTAAACTGGTTATTATAGTTAGCAGTTCCTGTAACCTTTTATCAAGGTTCTTCACTTCCTTGCCTTGCATTAAAACGTGCTCCTTTAGCTCAGAGGTGTTTGTTACTACCCACCTTCTGAAGCCTACTTCTGTCAATTCGTCATCTCCTTCTCCATCCAGTTTTGTTCCCTTGCTAGTGAGGAGTTGTGATCCTTTGGAGGAGAAGAGGCATTCTGGCAACCAGGATTTTCTAGGCTATTGCTTGATTCAGAAGAATATCCTCCCGGTTTTTCTGTGTTTGAAGTACAACATGTACTCAAGCAGCTAATGGATCTGTTTCTGACCATAATGCCATCTTTGGAATGCAAACCTTGCAGAGTATGCATCAGACTGACCTTTGCTTCCCTGCTACTCTTGATCTTGCTTCATACTGATATGTTCTTCCAGAAAGAGCAAAGGCATGAGGGCTAAACGATCCAGCAGAGATTAAATGAGAACATTTCTTAAATTCTGTTTTTCTTTAGGTAACTAACTGAAGCCTCTCTAAGGCTGCAGAATCATTCACTCACATATTAATATCACATGCATATATATCACTTTGAACTTCTCTAGGCATATCTAGGGGATAAAAGAGTAAGCAAGACAAAGCCTACAACTTCATGGAACCTACACTGTAGGGGAGATAGACAATAAAGAAACCAAAATTGTCTGTATACCTGTCATGCAGTCTTGTGTCGTCATGAGTATTGTGGAAAAAAAAGCCTGGGTAAAGGGATCAAGATGAAGGGACTGTGCACACCCACAGTAGGTTCATTTGAGAAGGTAATCTAGAATAAAGACCTATATGAATCAGAGAAGTGGTCCTTACAGAGGAAATAACATGTCCAAAAGTCCTAATGGAAATGGAAAATTAGTATTTTTGAGAAACACGAAGAGCCAGTGTGATAGAGCCTAAAGCGAGAGTAGTAGGAAATGAAATCTTGTGAACAGAAAGAGGCCAGATCTAATGGATTCTGAAAAGCCATAGTAAGAAGCTGTGTTTTTGTTCTGAGTGAGCTGCTGCAGGATTTTGAATAGAAAAATGACTTACATAATCTGGTTTACATTTTACTCAGCTAACTCTGTAACTCTCAACTTGGAGGAAAAGTCTTGTGGGTACCATCAGAAGCAGAGAATGTCTTTCTCTAAAATGTAAAGAAGAAATGGTTAGGAAAAGGGAATCAAGAGCTCTAATTTGAACATGTTAAATTTGAACATCCTCTTTAGACACCAAGTGGATATGTTGAGGAGAGAGTTTGGCATAAAAATCTGGAGTCCAGATGAAAAGAAAGGGCGGGAGCTATAAATTCCAGAACCACCAAAAAATAGATGATATTTAAAGCTATGGTACTGAACGAACTTCCCTAGGAAGAAAACATAGAAAAAGAAGAGAAAGCACCCCAAAATCTTTAGATCAGGGAGAAGAGGAGCCAGCAAAAAAAGAATGGAAAGGCACAATTGCTGTAGGAATAAAACAAGGGGCCAATAGAATTACCCAAGCCAGTAAAACAAATATGCTTCCAGAGGGTGGAAACGTACAACAGGGTTCAGTGCTACTGATACTTCAAGGAAGATTAAGACCGAGAAATGTCCACAAGATTTGGCAAAAGGAGAATCATTGGTAACTTTGATAAGAAGGATTTCAGTGGTGTGTTGAGGATGAAAGCCATAGTAGAATGGGCCAAGGAATGACTATTAAATCATTCTTTCAAGGAAATCCCACCTGAAAGGGGATGTGACATCAGGTCTGGAGTAAAGGATTTTGTCAAGGAAGATTTTAGAATGTCTTTGGATGTTGGTAGAAATGATTGGATAGGGAAGGAGAAAATAATGTCAGAGAAAGAGAACATAATTGCAGGAGCAAAGTCCTTGAGCAGGCAAGAAGGATGGGATCCAGCATATAAATGCGGAATTGGGCTTCAAAAGAAACAGGGTTTTTCATGCATTATAACAAAAGAAAAGGCCAAGTATATGGATACAGGCACAGGTGGACTCATAGTGGTAGGAAATAACAGAAATTATCTTGTGTTTGTCTTTATTCTCTCAGTGAAATGAAACAAGACCATCAATTAAATGTGAAGGGAAAGGGTGTCAGATGCTGGAGGAGCAAGAGAAGATGTGAAGCAGTGTCCCAGAGGGTGCTGGACTGAGCTGACCAGGGAACACTAACAGCTGTCCGGGCAGGGCAAACTGCCCACTTGAGATTTATGGTCAGAAGCTAGATGATCCTCTGACTATCATTGTTTCAGCAATGTTAATGGATGGAAAATTTGGATATAATCTTTATATTCTAAGAAGGCTTTTTAAGTTTATTTTAAACTGAGGGGGATAAAAATAGAATAGAAATCATGTTATCATAGGCAACTATGCACGAATGGAAGGATGCTTAAAACCAAACTTTGTAACCTAACTTTAAAATAATAATAATGATCTTTATTCTCATTTCCCTCTATACATAAATTTGCCCCATATAAGATTAGAGGGCCATTTTCTTTGATTTAAAGAGTACTGTACCATCAAGGGATATACTTCTAATCTCTGCCACTAGAAAACTGTAAGATCCTAAGCAATTATTTAATCTCACTGCAGCAGAGATAGTAGGTTAGCACCTCAATGTCTTGTTTGCCTTTCTCTTAGAAAGAACTCTCAACTCCTTAGCTGAGCAGATGGCTCCAAGAATCAAGACTACATTTCCCAACTTCTTTTGCAGCTAGGTGCGCCCATGGAACTAAATTTGGACCAATGAGACATAAAGAAAAATGGTATGAGACAGCTTCTAGAAAACTTCCTTTAAGAACGTGACAGGTTCTCCTTATCTACCCTTTAATATCTTCCTCCACACAGTGGCTAGAGTTCTAGTCATCATCCTGGACCGTCCTAAAAATGGCAAAACAGTTAGCTAGATAGAGTATGAGTCACTAACAGTTTTTTAGAAGCCACATCAACCCTGGAATACAAACCTCCACCCTTCAATAATGTGAGAGAGAATGCTATCTCTATCAAGCCAACTGAACTGAATCATGATTGATATGCTTAGTCTCAAGTCTTAGTTTTCCCTTCCTTAAACTAAAGCTATCGTCAAGTTTTCTGTGCAAATGTAAAATTATCATTTACAATGCCATTTCTGTTTCAGAGATCAAAGTGGAATCTAGCTTCAATTGTATGTTTAATGCCCTCCTGAAATCTATTTAGTGTTGCCAAGGAAGGTGATACCCAGAGTTTTAAGTCCTCTCTTCACGTGTACATCTCCACAGAGTTAATGATCATAATGTTTGATCTCTGAGGTTCAGCAACACAGTTCTGACTCTAGACTTGGTTTGACATTTAGCGCAAACAGGCATTGTGGGGTATTTTCTATGAGCTACTGGAACACCCTCCGCCGAACAGTTCCACTAGTTTGACTCGCGTATTGTCCTATGTAAAAAACAAAAATGGAAAATAATACCTCTTGTGAAAATTTACTACCAAATCATCCTTTCTTTAGCCATTCTGAATAAAATGATCAGTATCTGCCATAAAGTTTATTAACTAAGGAAGGATGCCTTTATTTTTAGTTCTAAAATGCTATCACAAAAAGTACAAAAGGAAACATGCCAGATGAAAACAATTATTCAAAACAAGTTTGGTAAAACCTATGATCTTTAGGAAATAAAATATTGAACTTACATTATTTTGATAATTTGTAAGTAACGGTGTAAAAATGTTTTCCACATTGCTGAACTAGAACCCTTTCCCTATCATTTATTAAAAGTCTCCCTGGATTTTCAGGCAATTTAGAGAAATGTAACTTGCAGGAGAAAAAACTTATAAAATATAGTGTTTTAACAAAATTTCTCTTTTTGCACACTACACAAATAATACTGAGCCAACAGAAACTTTCGTAAAAGCCAGCATGGAAGTCTGTCTCTGTATTTTTTTTTAATCTCTCTCTGGATTTAATGCCCTCATGAAGCTTGAATGGAATATATGCATGTCACAGCATGGCAGAGGGATAATATATTTCCCCCTGCTTCACTGAGCATGAGTTGTGTATCTTGCCATCTTGAGAGTCCACAGTGCAGCACGTTTATCCCTATTAGAAAAGCTCAGTCTAATAATATATGGATGCTGCAGCCATTTATGACAAATATGTAAAATCATAACCTTATATATTCTGGAGATGGATGCATATACATTGAATCTATTAACTATGCACTGACAGATTTTTGTTAAAACTAGGTTTTCAACCTCAAAGACTAAAAGGGCAAATAAATTGATTATATTTGTATATTTATGTAGCCTCAAACTTTAATTTCAAGGCAGAAAAAAAGAGCAGTGCCACTGTTGCCACTTCGGCCATACTTGGATTCACTTTGCCCACCCTGAGCACACAGCTATTCAGATCAAGGCATATGTTTATAAATACTGTTTGATTAATTTTGATAAGACATTCAGCTTTTTATCATCTCATTTTAGAAATGAAGGTCACAGCAATGAAAGAGTATATTTGTAAAAGTGACCAAAAAATAAGCAAATATTTACGGTTCAAATCCCAACATTTTCTAATTATATAACCTTGGGCAAATTTACTTAACCCAAGTCTAGTCTCAATTTGCTCACCTGTAAAACGGGGATGATAATCATACCTAACTAATAGGATTGTATGTAAAGTGTTTAGCATGTCATTGGGACTCAATAAATGTTGGCTATTTTCATCATGACTATTCCCTCAGAACCGTCGCCAGTATATCAGTGGGAAAAAGTGAGCATAATCTGTGAAAGAGAGTAGGTAGGAGAGCAATCATTAACTGTGCTCTCCAGTTACTCTTATCTGCTCCCAAGGGGTATAATGTGATGCTGTCTCTAAACACACCTGAGAAAGACACAAGATCCTGAGAACAGCACAAAGGCCTGATAATCCCTACAGAAGTCTTGTTTTAACCAGACTTAAACCGTACACTCCAAAATTTAGGTCTGCATCTACATCTAATTAGTACACAGAAAAACAAACAACCTTACAACCAAGAGAAAAATGGCCAGGGGTCACTTGAAGAGAGCAATAGGATTAGATTTTTTTTTCCCCTCTATAACCATAGGTTATAGAATTTGCATCTTTCCCATCTCAGATTTAGCATTTCTTGGAACAAATTGTGCAAAACTATGTCAATTAGTTGATCCTCTGTGTTGATAAGGCTATACATTCATTCCTCAAATTTTTTGGCTTTGTGAGTCCAAAGCCACAACAGTGAAAAATAATGTTTCACACCATTTTCCATAAAGTTAAGGATTCAAATACCTTGCCAGTGTTAAAATCTCATATTTGTAATATACCTGTTTCTCTAATTAACACAGCACAGTCATTAATATACTATATTATGTTAGGAAGTCATAATTGCAGCCAAGCAGAAAATAATTACCATCTATCAGCCTTTATGCTTTACAAAAGCAAAATTATTTTTCCTTTGTTGTAGAACTTCCCCAGGACAAATAATAGTTTTACAGTGGCAACACTTTCATTTCATGATCCAACTGCCAAATGTCTCTATAAAACTGTCATATATTCTTCTGAGCTCAACTCACATGCAGCTGTTTCAATTTTAAAATCTAATCAAAGAGCAAATACTTCTCATTCCATTGTGAACAGCTGGTAATAACAACAGTGAAAAATATAGGGTCTCTTTCAAATGTGTCTCCATGTGAAAACAAGTTATTTCATATGTCTCTCAGGTCAGATCTATAAAACAATTCCTTGAAATTAATTCCTGTCAGCAAACCTGTAATGAACACCCACTCTAATGTGTATTGTTGGACAATGTGCTCTTGGAGGTACACAGCACGTGCCCTCAGGCAGCTTATAGATCATTGGAAAACAAGACAAGTAAGGGGCACAAAGGGTTACAAATAACTGTAACACAAAGGCAGAATAAGATAAAGGCCTGAAAGAAAGATAAACATTGTTACAAGGTTCAGAGGCAGAACAATTCAAGATCATTTAATTAGATAGATTGGCATCATTGAATGCAATGAGAGGTCGGTAGCACTTCATCCAGCAAAGGGCTGGGCATTCCTGGCAATGGACACAACATTATCAAAGATCCTAATGCAAGAAAGCACATGATGTTTTGGGGTCAATAAGTAGTCCACTGTGCTTGAGTCAAGAATAGCCTCATGTAATGGACTTCTGTTGTTACTGCTATCCAGGATTCATTTATTTAGCTTCTAGGAACAGCCATATTTTTCTCACCATCCTTCTCCCTTCAGTGGTCCATAGGGTCTGAGTGACCCTATTTTGCTCCAAAGAGAGAAATGAGATTTTCATAGTACACTTAATTGCAATGACTGATGGAGGAGTGGGTAGGTAGCTTAATCTGCCCAATCAGCATTATTAGAGCTAATAGACAAGACCATTGCTATTGTCTTCTGCTAATGAACAAGGAAGTCTGTGACTCCCGGATCTGCTGGCAATCATTTTGTAATGATAATGGGACCAACAATGAAGCAGACCAAGAGATGGCAAGAGAGAGGTCAGATCCTTCTACTGTAACTGCAGATAGGTGTGTCTGGCATGGATGCTTCAAGGGCATTTCAAACTCAATGTGTCCCAAAGCAAACTCTTTATCTCCCCATTATAATTCCCTTACCTATCCACCAAAACAAATTATTTTGTGTTCTCCACACTTATCAATGGTGTTACCATACACCCAGTTATCCAAATTAAAAAGTTGAGAGTCAACCACAATTCCTCCTGCTCTGTAAATTCTACATTAGTCTGGATCGCCAACCCCTGAGGAGTCCATCTTAGTAATAACTTTCCATTCTCCCTCTCCATCCCTACACTCCTGCCTTCACGTCTCCCCAGAGGCCTCTGAGTCTGGAGATTAAGAATTTAATCTCTGCTGTCAGATAAATTAGGATTCACATTCCTACTTTGGTCCTTATTAATTCCAGGATCTTTAACAAGTTCCTTAATATCTCTAACCTCAGTTTGCTCTTCTGTAAAATGGGGATAGTAGTTATTCCTACCTGACAGTGTTGCAATTAGGATTATGTAAAATTATATGTAAAAAGCTTAGAAGAGCATGTGACACAGAGTAAGCAACCATAAGTACTATTATTCTTATTCTGATAATCTTCTAATTAATCTCTCTTCCTCCAAACCCTCATTATTTTTTATCCTCTAAATGATTTCCAGAGTTCTGTAAATATGTCACTTATCTGAATAAAAAATGTTGATGGTTCTTCTAGTTTGTTTCTTCAAGCTACACAGACACAATACATTGGCAAATTGTGGAATTAATTTACTTTGTCTAGCCACCATATAGTCTACTTGAAGAGAAAAGATATCAGAGTGTGGCACATGTGGTTGACTAGAATAGTTTGATGGAACACTTTCTTTCAGGTTGGTGTGTGCATGCACATGAAATTGCATGTATGTGTGAACGAGAGAGAGAGAGACTGGGTCACAATATAAAATGTCTTACTGTGGTCACGGTAAACAAATTGAAATCCATTGGCCTATGGAGTAGAGTCCAATTACCTCAGCATATCTCTTCACCTCAGCATGCCTTTCAAGATAGTGATCCAAACAAAGTCTGCATAATGACTGCATTGGACCTCTTGCCATGTCTCAAAGGTACATTTCTATATCTCCTTGTTTTGTTTTACTTTTTAAATAAATTTTATTGAGGAAAAAAATTATACACAATAAAATGTACCCATTTTAAGTATACAACGTGGTAAGTTTTAACAAACACAGGCAGTCACAATCCAGATATAGAATACTTCCATCACCCCAAAATGCTTACTCATGTCCATTTGCAGTCATTCACTCTCCAACCTCTGGCCCTAGGTCACCACAGATCACCTTTCTGTTCATTGATTTTGTCCATTCTTGAATTTTATATAAATGGGACCATACAGCATGTATTCTTGTGTCTGGTGTCTTTCACTCAGCCTAATGTTTCCGAGATTCACCCATGCTGTTGGGTATATCATTTGTTTGTTTCCTTTTATTCATGAGGAATATTCCATTTTATGGATATACCATGATTTGTTTATCCATTTTCCTACTGAGGGACATTTGAGTTATTTGTAGTTTTTGTCTATTATGAATAAAGCTTCTAGGAAAACATATGTACAAATCTTTGTGTGGATATATTTTCATTTCTCTTGGGTAAATATCTAGGAGTGGAATGGCTTGGTCTTCAGGAAAGTGTATAATTAACCCTATAAGAAACTGCCAAACAGTTTTCCAAAATGGCTATACTATTTTATATTCCCACCAGCATTGTATGAGGGTTCCAGTTGCTCTACTTCCTTGCCAGTCAGTACTTGATATTTAGGTCTCTTTAATTTTAGCCATTCAAGTGGGTATATACAGAGGCATCTCACTACAGTTTTAACTTGAGTTTTTCTCATGTCTAATGATGTTGAGCAACTTTTCATGTATCATTTTTGGTCATTCTTTTATCTTCTTTCATAAAATAGCCTTTCAAATAATTTGCCTATTTTTATTGGGTTGTCTTCTTATATATATCCTTCAAAAATGAAATATTTACATATTCCTCACTTGTTTTATGTGATTTCCTGTGTGTTTGATGACCATCCACTCTGTCTCTATCTGACATATTTTTTAAAGTCCGGCTCATAGGTCTCCTTCTCACTGGAGGCTTTTCCCTACCTCCCCAGTGACTACTTTCTCTGGGCCCTCACAACGTCTGGTTTCCACATTCCTCTGTAGTGGTCCTTACCAGATTGCATCATAATTCAGGGTTACATCCTGAACCCTGATAGAATAGAGCCTCTATCCTTCCCTAGATTGTGAGCTCCTTGACAGCACAAGAGGATTAATTTTCTCCTTTGAATCTTCCCAGGGCTTACTACAATATCCAGCATATTTAAGTACTCAGGCTTACCTGAGTACTTGGATGATTTAGATTCAGAAGCTAAGAGAAGGAATAGTGAATTATTGAGATTAAAGCCATGGAGGGGTGAGTATGACTTCAGAGTATTGTGGGAAAATATACAGGAATTAATTCATTCATTCACTTATTTAACAAATATTCATTTGGCTCTCACTGTGTACCAGACACCTTAGATGCTAGGATGCAGAGATATATGAGCTAGACCAAATCTCTGCTATGGAATAACTTAGCCTATAGCAAGAAAGACAGATCCATTACTCAAAAGTTAAAGTACAGTGTGACAAGTATGATGACCAGGGAAACCCAGGATGCTAAGGGAGCTCATAGCAAAATCCCTAACTCAGGCATTGAAATCAAAGGGGACTTTCTAAAGAAGTGCTATCTAAGCTCTGACCTAAAGGATGCGTCAAAGTGGCTCAAGTCAAAAAACAATAGAACAGCAGGTTATACAAAAGCCCTGAGATAACAAAGAAAAAGTTATTTCAGGGAATTGCAATAAGTGAGCAGAGCTAGAGAACTACTTTTTGGATATAGGAAATAACTACAGAGGAAATTGTTGGTGATAATTCCATGAAATTATCAACAGATACAAGATAAAGAATGCTTACAAATGTTTATTTTTGTCATGTGTGAGAATCTCTTTTTCATTCCCCCTCCACCATAATCCCACCTCTAACAACTACTTGTTTGATCTTGAGAAAATGAAACCTCTCTGTATCTGTTTCCTCATTTTTATCATGAAAAGAATAACTTCATAAAGTTGTGTGAAGTATGAACTAATGCAGGTAAAATACTGTGCCAGGAACTAGCTAGACACTCACCAAATGTGTTACTCCTCTTGGGCACAAACTCTGTTTTGCAGCAACCATATATCTAGGTGAGCCAAGTAACTAGTTATCAACAATAAGACATGACCCCAAGGGTTGGGTCAGTTTTGGGCTAAGGCAGTTAAGATTAGGTGTGCCTTTCTCATAATCTCTCACTCTTTCTTTTTATGGTAACTTTGGAGTACACATGTTGAATATTCACTAGGAAGAAGCCTGGTTCTCTGAATGACTGCATGGAACCACCCACACCTACCTTCTGCTTGCCTCATTGGCCTGTGACATGTGGTAGCAAAACAAAGAAAAAAGAAAAAAAACTTGTATTATATTAAAATACACAAAGGATTTGGGGTTGTTTGTTACAGGGGTTATCCTATCCCAGTTTATTCAAACATTTAGCCCAAGCAAGGCACGGTGGCTCACACCTGTAATCCTGGCACTTTGGGAGGCCAAGGCAGGTGGATCATTTGAAGTCAGGAGTTTGAGACTAGACTGGCCAACATGGTGAAACCCCTTCTCTACCTAAAATACAAAAATTAGCCAAGTGTTGTGGCAGGTGCCTATAAACCCAGCTACTCAGGAGGCTGAGGTAGGAGAATCACTTGAACCAGGAGGCAGAGGTTACAGTGAGCCGAGATGGTGCCACTGCACTCCAGCCTGGGTGACAAAGCAAGACTCCATCTCAAAAACAAAAAACAAACAAACATTTAGCCCAATGTTTAGTGTATATTAAGCATGTAAAACATGTCAGCTGAGGATGCTATAATTATTTGTTTTTTTTTTTTATTACATGAGACAATATGAGATAGTTATTCAGGCTCAAGCTCCGAAGTCAGACAGAATTGGGTCTGACTCCTGAATCTACATTTACCAATTTTGTTTGTTTCCTTGGCTAAGTGGCATAGTCTCTTGTGCTTATTTTACTTACTCATCTGTAAAATGAAGCTAATAACAGTGCCTACCTCATAAGGTCATGGTGAGCACTGAATGAGATAAAACATGCAAATCTTTTGTAACACCCACACATAGTAAGTGCTCAGTAAGTGGGAGCTACTAAATAATATTGAGAATGGAATCTGATATTAGGGAATATTGAGGATTTGTTGCTGCATTTGTACTTCATGCAGTCACTCCAGGAATGTTGTTCTTAATGCATATCCGTAGTATTTTCAGGTCAGTAATTACTCTGACTGACAAAAATAATAATGTGTTAACAGATCAGGCCTCCAGTGCTCATAAATTATTCTTTGTCTCTTTCCTCAGCAAGTCAGGGTTCAAGGGATTTGAGTTGTTATTGGCCTCCGAGGTTTTTCGATGGCTGGTTCTCACTGCTAATGCTCCTGGCATGCTCCATTTTCCCCAGTGCCACAAGTTGCAATCAACTCGTGCTGGCAGTTGACTTCTTTTAATATTTGTTGCTCCCTTTCTGCCTAGTACTTGTGGCTCTATCTTGACATGAAGCCATTCCTGTTATTGCCATTACTAACTAAATAGCCCTTGGACTCTAGCTGGGAAGCAGTACCATAAATTGCTTAGAGTTATCCTATTTCCTGCAAACAAAAATCCAGGCAGCTTTAGGCCCATTTTTACTTTATTATTTATACGGCCAGACCATTTATTGCAGGATACGGCCTCTCCCTGGGTTGAAGTAGGGAAATTATTCCATTTCCTATTGTAAATGGTGCAACTCCTGATTCAGCAGCCTCGACAGGAGGCATACTTGGAATGGAAGAATTTGTACATTTGTTGCTGAAAGTACAAATTCATTATCTGTGCCCTATTCTTCTTTGGCACTTAAAACAGAGTGGGATAAAGAGACAGGTTTTCATATCTCTTTAGCCATTTGGTCAGGTTATTGCTGGAGAGAGAAAGATGAAGAGAGATAGTGTGGACAGCATAGATTCATTGTAATGGTCTATTGGTTCCACTTAGTGAAGGCCTATTAATTGCATAACATGCATCTGTATCTGTGTCTTTCAAATAACATTTCTAACCACCTGGAGAACTGCTAAGAAGGCACAGAGGGACATATAAAGAATGGGTGCAATTAGAAAATTACCATCGAGGATGGAGAAAGGTTTGAAGAAGGAGAAGGGAAAGATGCTCCTACTTCAATGCTGTAGGATTTTTTTTAATAGAAAAATACTCTGTTTAACTATGAAAGCCTTTTTTGTAAATTGCTACATGAGTAACAGTGGCTAAGGGAAGTAAATTCATCAGTGAAGGAGAGGGTGTATTGTGAAAAGTAGAAGGCGAGCTGGGAAATTTCTGATTGACTGAAAAGAAACTTTTATTTTTCTATTTTGATAAAAATCTGCTACAATTACAGTTTTCATTCCTCTTTATTTCCCAGTGAAATTCCGTTTTAATGAAATGTGGAAATTAATAACTACTTGATATGTTTTAACCCTTCCTAGTATCTTGTGTCCACTGAGAGACCCCAAACATCTCCTCTTGGCTGAGATTGTGCATCTCTGTGGAAGAGGAAACATCCTATTATCCCCGTAAGAGAAGCTGTCAACTGGTGGAATACTTGTCATTTCCTGACAGTACCATTCATCTAGCATGTATTATTGCAGTATTATCTCCCTTAACAGACTATAAACTGCTAAAGAACAAAGGGATTTCTTTAAATGTACTGTTTTGACTATCATACCTAAGGAAAAAGGAAAATAAGTACCTGAAATTTTTGAAAATATTTAGGTTTATATTTATTTGAGAGAAGAAAATGAATAGCAACAGATCTTTTCTATTTTTATTTTAGATTTACTATATTTTGCTCTGCTAAAAAAGGCAAAGGATTCAATAAGAAGTATCTCTGTTTCTAGAACATTCTCAAGCAGAAGAAACAAGCTGGTTAGGAGGTAGTTTTTTTCTGATGTGACCAGTTTGATGAAGTGGATTAGTGAGGATCAGCCTCTCTCCTCTGGTAAAAAGGGACTGAGAAATCACTGGGAGAACCAGAAACTGGCCTCTGACTAGCACACTTCTCTCCTTCGGATGATGCTTTGAAAACTAAGTCAACTCTTTGGTTTCTGAATAGAAGCCCAGCAACAGATAAGTTGCAGTCCAAAAGGCTTGACGGATATGGCACCTATTGGTAGCCAGTTTCATTAAAGAAGGATACCTAGACAGCAAACTTATTTTACCTTGAGTCTAGAGGTGAATATTAAGGGAATAAGTGGTTGGTACCTCTACTTCAATCTTGGTCCTTCATATGCCCAATAAGTAAATAAGTCTCTGTTTCAGAAGTGTAAGTACTATCAGGAGTAATTAATTCCATTTTCTGTCCTGATAGTTGAGGCACTGTCGTGGGCTATTTCTGCTACTAACCTGGGTCTTCTTATGAATCCAGAACAAGATTTAAGGGTAAAACTGTGGTGATAAGACCCAGGGAGGAAAAGGTCATGCTGTCTTAAGCTCCATCAAAAGCAATTATGAACAGCAACAGGCTATGACATTCAGGACATCAGTACTAGGGAATAGCACTTAGAATTAAGACTTGAATTGGGTTTGTTAAAAGTATTGTACATGAAGACTTCCATAGTGTCTCTTATAGCTTATACTAGAAAGATTTTGACTAAGCCTAATGTACTACCAGCCAGGAACCACCTAATCTTATGCCATAATGTTATTTTGGACCGTGGATAACAGTCATATATGACTTTATTTTACTTATATCAACAAGCCTAGTATTTTATAGTTGTTAATTCAAAAGTACTTGTTAAATAAAATGGAATGGAACTAAATAGATCCTCTTGAAGAATCTAAAAATTAGCTAGATGTGGTGGCTCATGCCTGTAATTCCAACATTTTGGGAGGCCAAGGTAGGCATATCGCTTGAGCCCAAGAGTTCAAGACCACCCTGGGCAACATGGTAAAACCCCATCTCTACTGAAAAATAAATAAATAAAACATTTTTTAAAAAACCTACAGTTTAGTGTATTTTCCATCGTATGACCATGCTTTGTGTGACTTTGTTATGGAGAAATGATACATTCAATTAGAAAATATATATACTTTGCCTTCCATCTACTGCAAGAGTGATCAAAATTGTTACCTTTGAGGAACAAGTTTTCAAAGGCAGGTTTGCTGTCATATACAAGACATAGTGGAGAATCATAATTAAGTCATGTAATATCACTGATTAAACAAATGTATATCATGGAGACTAAAAGAAACATATTATATGATAGCCATTTCTGTAATTACAGCTACTTAAGAGGCTGAGGCCCAGGATTACTTGTGCCCAAAAATTTGAGGTTGCAGTGAGCTATAATTGTGCGACTGCACTCCAACCTGGGTGACGGAGTGAGACCCTGTCTCTAAAAAAAAAGAAAAAGTGCTGCTGGGGTGAGGGTGACAGACAAGATACCTGACTAGACACAGCCAGGAAGTCTTGCTCCAACCAAAAGAATCCAAATTATCAAATAAACCACCATATTTTAGCAGATCTTTGGAGAGAAAATGCCAAGAGTGGATGGAGAGGCAATGGTGAAGCTGAGGCTGAAGTCGGAGGAAGCTGTGAACCCTGCATGGGGTACCTGAACACCAGGGCAAGTTTCTGGCCCAGAATGGCTTCTGGGAAAGGGGTGAGTGAGGGAACTGGGGGACTGCTCACTTTTACCGTGGACCTCTGGGATCCTAGCTATAAGGGGACCCCACATCCCCCATGGATGTATGAGCTGGCAGGGGAAATCTCCCTGGGGTACAGGCAGAAATAGGTCTTCAGACAGTGTGGGGCCTGGGAGCTTTTGTGCATTGGGCAGCTCCAGCAGAGAGTGGCCATAGACACCCATCACCCAGGGCTCCTCATCCCCCTCCAGTAGGCACATGACCTAACTGTCCTCCAAGCCAGGAGAGAGTGGAGCCAGCTTCGCTGGGGGACTGGGACATCTGCTCGGTGACGTCTTCTGCCTGGCAGCTCCTCCCAGGGCCCATGCCTAGCTGCCCTGTAGAAGTGAGTGCACAGCACAGCCCCTAAAGCCCAGCCTGAGTGCAGTGCTGCACCTGAGTACTTTCCCAGTGACCCAGGAGCACAATGGATCCCCTAGTGCAGCTAGAACCTGACTGCGAGCCACAAGGCATCCTGGTGCCCCAGGACTGTGGTGCACAGCTTGGAAGTATGAAGCCAAGATCTGTGGCCAGCACTAGAGCTGTGGAGGAGGCTGCACCCTCAGACCACTGAGAGGGGAGAGATGTGCAGGTTCTCAGGCCAGGGCAGAGTAGGGTGTGTGTCCTCCATAGGGCCAGTTTAGAAAGGTTATGGCATATCTCCCTGCTGCAGCTTCTACCTGACAGGGCCCCACAGCCCAGGAGACCTAACAAAAGAAGTGCACATGCAGTGCAAGTCTTCAGAGGGAGATCCACCAAGGCCCAGGAGTGGATCTGACGAGGGACCATCTCTCCCTCCACCACAACAACAACAGAGCATCACTGCAAAGACAAGGAAATACAAAAGAGCCCCATGGCTGGGTATTAACCTAGCTACCAGCCATTACACTTAACTGCCATCTACTGGATCACAGTCCAAACTACAACAACAAAAATTATCCTGCTAATACATACACCTGTGAAACCAAGTTCAAGAATTCACCCACACATAAAGATACTGTACAGAGCCCTGGCCCTCTAAAAGCATTCATAAATGAAGCCAACTGACTATACTCAACTTTCACCACAATTAAAAGAACACCAACCCCACCCCCCCGACCACCAGATGAGAAGAAAAGAGTTCTGGCAATTCAAAAAGCCAAAATGTCCCCTTACTTCCAAATAAGTACACTAGCTCCCCAGCAATAGTTCTTAACCAGTCTAAAATGACTAGAATGATTGACATAAAGTTCAGATTCGATGGCAAGGAAGCCCATCAAAATTCAGGAGACAGTTAAAACCCAATCCAAGGAATCCAGTAAAATGATCCAAGAGCTGAAAGAAAAAAAACTTTTAGTTTACTTTGGTTCTTTCTTAAAATAGCTATTTTTGAGGTTTGAAAACCTCACTGCAAGAATTTCATAATACAATTAAAAGTATTACCAGTGGAATAGACCAAGCTGAGGTAAGAATCCCAGAGCCTGAAGACTGGTTCTTTAAATCAATTCAGTCAGATGAAAATAAAGAAAAAAGAATTTTTTAAAAATGAATAAAACCTCTGAGAAATATGGGATTACGTAAAGAGAACAAATCTACAATTCATTAGCATTCCTGAGAGAGAAGAAAGAATAAGCAACTTGGAAACTATATTTGAGGATATAGTCCATGAAAACTTCCTTAATCTCACTAGGCACATTGACAGGCAAATCCAAGAAATGCAGAGAACCCCAGCTAGATACTATACAAGATGGCCAGCCCTAAGGCACGTGTTCACAAGATTCACCAAGGTCAATACAAAAGAAAAAAGCTTAAAGGCATCTAGACAGAAGGGTCAAGTCACATAAAGAGATAACCTCATCAGGCTAGCAGCAGACATCTAAGCAGAACTTGTATAAGTCAGAAGAGATTGAGGGCCTATTTTCAGCATCCTTAAAGGAAAGAAATTCCAATCAAGAATTTCTCCTAAACTTCATAAGTGAAGGAGAAGTAAAATCCTTCTCAGATGAGCAAATTCAGAGGGAATACATTTTACCTAGACCAGCCTTACAAAAAGATCCTTAAGGGATTGCTAAATATGGAATCAAAAGAATGACACTTGTTACCACAAAAACACGCTTAAGCACATAGCTCACAGGCAGTATAAAGCACCTATACAATCAAGTCTATATAACAACCAGCTAACAATGCAATGACCTGATCAAAATCACACATATCACTACTAACCATGAATGTAAATGGATTAAACAAACCACTTAAAAGTCACAGAGCGGCAAACTGCATAAAAAGACAAGACCCAACAATCTGTTGTCTTTAAGACACCCATCTCCCATGCAGTGACACCTACAGGCTCAAAGTAAAAGGATGGAAAAAGAGCTACCATGCAAACAAACAAAAAAAAAAAAGAGCAGGAGTCGCTATTCTTATATCAGATAAAACAGTCATTAAACCAATAAAAATTAAGAAAAGCAATGAAGGACATCACATAATGATAAAGGGTACAATCCAACAAGAAACTTAACTATTCTAAATATATACACACCCAACACTGGGGCACCCAGTTCATAAAACAATTTCTTCCTAACCTATGAAAAGACTTAGACAAGCACACAATAATAGTGGGATACTTCAACACCCAATTGACAACATTAGACAGATCATCAAGCCAGAAAACTAACCAAAAGACCCTGGACTTAAACTTGACACTTGAGCAACTGGACCTAAGAGAAATCTACAGAACACTCCATTCAACAACCACAGAAAATTCATTCTTCTCATCTGCACATGGGATCCAGATAAAGCATGTTAACAGGAAAGTTTATAGCCCTAAACACTGGTATCAAGAAGTAAGTTAGAAAGATTTCAAATTAACTATCAACATTTTGTCCTAAAGTAACTAGGAAAAAAATGAACAAACAAATCCCAAAGCTAGCAGAAGAAAACAAACAACTAAAATTAGAGAGGAGCTTAATGAAATTAAGATGCAAAAATCCATACAAAAGATCAGTGAAACCAAGAGTTGGTTTCTTGAAAAAATAAACAAGATCAATAAACTGCTAGCCAGATTAACAAATAAAAAAGAGAAGATACAAATAAGTACTCTCAAAAATTACAAAGATGACATTACCACTCATCCTACAGAAATACAAAATATACAAAAGATCTTCAGAGAATACTATGAACAACTCTGTGCACACATATTAGAAAATATAGAGGAAATGGATAAATCCAGGAAACACACAATATCTCAAGATTTAATCAGGAAGAGATTAAAACTCTGAATAGACCAATATTGAACTCTGCAATTGAATCAGTAGTAAAAAACCTACCAACTAAAAAAAAGCCCTGGACCAGATGGATTCACAGCCAAATTCTACCAAATGTACAAAGAAAAACTAGTACCAGTCCTACTAAAACTATTCCAAAAAGTTGAGGAGGAGGGATTCCTCTCTAATTCATTCTATGAAGCCAGCATCAGCCTAATACCAAATCTAACAAATCTGAAAGAGACATGACAAAGAAAGAAAACATCAGGCTAATATCCCTGATTAACGTTGACACAAAAATCTCAACAAAATACTAGCAAACCAAATCTAGTACCACATCAAAATATTAATTCACTAAAATCAAGTAAGCTGTATTCTTGGCATGCAAGGTTGGTTCAACATACAGAAATCAATAAATGTGATTCACCACATAAACAGAATTAAAAACAAAAACCATATGATCATCTCAAGAGATGCAGAAAAAGCTTTTGATAAAATCCAACATCATTTCATGATAAAAACCCTCAACAGCTTAGGCACTGAAGGAACATACCTCCAAATAATAAGAGCAATGTATGACAAACCCACAGCCAGTATCATACTGAAAGGATAAAAGCTGGAAGCATTCCTCTTGAGAAACTGAACAAGACAAAGATGCCCATTCTCACCATTCCTCTTCAATATAGTACTGGGGGTGCTGGGCAGAGCAATCAGGAAGAGAAAGAAATAAAGGCATCCAAATAGGAAAAGAAGAAGTCAAACTATGTCTCTTCATAGATGATATGATTCCATACCTTGAAAACACTAAAGACCCCACCTAAAGGTGACTAAAACTGATAAATGACTTTAGTGAGGTTTCACAATACAAAATCCATTTACAAAAATCAGTTGCATTTCTGTACACCAATAACATCAAGGCTGAGAATCAAATCAAGGACACAATCCCATTCACAATGGCCACAAAGAAAATGAAATACCTAGGTATATAGCTAAGTAAGGAGGTGAAAGATCTCTGCCAGGGAAACTACAAAACATTGCTGAAAGAAATTAGAGATGATACAAATAAATGGAAAATTGGAAGAATTGATATCATAAAAATGATTATACTGCCCAAAGCAATTTACAGACTCAGTACCATTCCTATTAAATCACCAACATCATTCTTCACAGAGTTAGAAAAAAAAAAACTATTCTAAAATTATTTCAAATTATTTTGGAACCAAAAAAGCCTAAATAGCCAAAGAAATTCTAAGCAAAAAGAACAATGCCAGGGGCATCAAACTACCTGAATTCAAAGTATAGTATAAGGCTACAGTAATCAAAACAGCATAGTACTGGTACATAAACAGACATATGGAACAAAATAGAAAACTCAGAAATACAACCGCACACCTATAACCATCTGATCTTCTACAAGACCAACAAAAAAAAGGAATGGGGAAAGGACTCCCTATTCAAAAAATGGTGCTGGGAAAATTTATTAGGCATATGCAGAAGAATATAACCAGACACTTACTTTTCACCATATACAAAAATTAACCAAGAAAGATTAAATATTTAAATGTAAGACCTCAAACTATACAAATTCTAAAAGAAAACCTAGGAAATACCCTTCTTGACATTGGCTTTGGCAAAGAATTTTTGGCTAAGTCCCTAAAAACAATTACAACAAAAATGAAAATTGACAAGTGGGGCCTAATTAAACTAAAGAGCTTCTGCACAGCAAAAGAAACCATCAACAGAGTAAACAGTCAACCTACACAATGGAAGAAAATATTTGAAACTATGCATCCAACAGAGGTCTAGTATCCAGAATCTATAAGGAATTTAAACAAATCAACAAGCAAAAAGCAAATAACCGCATTTTAACAATGGGCAAAGGACATGAACAGACACTTGTCAAAAGATAACATACACAAGCAGCCAAGAAACATATAAAAAATACTCATTGTCACTAATCATTAGAAAGATGCAAGTCAAAACCACAATGAGATATCATCTTATACCAGTCAGAATGGCTATTATTTAAAAGTCAAAAAACAACAGATGTTGGTGAGACTGCAGAGAAAGGGAAATGCTTATACATGATTGGGGGATATGCAAACTAGTTCAGTCACTGTGGAAAGCTGTTTGTAGATTTCTTGAAGAACTTAAAACAGAACTACCATGGGACCTAGTAATCCCATTACTGGGTGTATACCCAAAGGAAAATAGATCATTATATCAAAAAGACACATGTACTCATGTTCATTGCACACTACTCACAATAGGAAAGACATGGACTCAACCTAGGTACCTATCAATGGTGGACTGAATTTAAAAAAACATGATACATCTATGCCTTAGAATACTGCACAGCCATAAAAAAGAATGAAATCATGTCCTTTGCAGCAACAAAGAGGGAGCCGCAATCCTAAGTGAATTTATGCAGGAACAGAAAACCAAATACTTTATGTTCTCACTTATAAGTAGGACCTACACATTGAGCATACATGGATAAACATGGGAACAATAGACCCTGTGGACTATTAAAAGGGGATGTGTTGAAAAGCTACCTATTGGGTACTATACTTAGTACCTAGGTGCAATATACCCATGTAACAATCCTGCACACGTACCCCTTGTATCAAAAGTAAAAGCTGAAATTTTTAAAAAGAAAGAAATATAATGTGGATTGGTTAAAACAAAACTTCTGAGATATAAATGACTAAGTTGTAGTTTCTTGTCACTAGGACCCATTACTGATGAAACCATTCACGTATTTTCGTCGCCTGTTCTTAACATAGGAAAATAAACATGAAAGAGAGATGAGTTTTCTATCATCTTTATCTCCAAATCTCAGATTACTCTAGTCACTGGTTGGAGATGGAAGGAGAGAACCCACCTCCAAGTAGCTAAAGACAAAAAAAAAGGAAAACATTGATGTTATTTTAGCATAAAATATAGTCAGTAAAATCTTCAATGGAGAAAAATCAACCAAACCAAAATCTTTGTTTGAGAAAATATAAAACCAAACCAAACTGAAAAATTCTGGAAAGAAAAATTCCCAAGTATCCCCCATAAGGCATTGCATCATTTATTATCACTTAATATACTAGGTGATGCAAGGCCAGCTCTACAGTAGCTGAATCATTCTCCTAATGAAGGGTTTTCTTATATTTCCAAGGCATGGAACACATAGAAATTAATAAATCTGGAAAGAGTAGTAAATACTTACTGTGCACACAAATGACCTGCAAGGGTTCAAGAAACCCCAAGGCCAATGAAGTGTGCATTTCAAAACCATTCTCCCTAGAAAAGTGGTCAGCAAACATTTTTTGTAAAGGAACAGTTAATATTTTATTTAAGTTTGTTCTAAATCGCTCTCTGTCTCAAATATTCAACTTCAATGTTTTAGCATGAAAGCAGCTATATATATAAATACACAGATAAGTGGCCATGGTTGTGTTCAATAAAACTTTGTTTATAAAAACAGGAAGTGCTAGGGCTTGGTCCACTGGCTATTGTTTGCCAACAGTCTCTAGAATAATGAAATGGTAACTGAGTGAATAGGCTCTGGACCTCATCATCCCCAATACGCCACACATACACACACACACATACACATACTTCAACCAAGGAAAATCTATATTTATCTCTTTTACATATTTAATTTCCATGTGAGGTTTTGTTTGAGAATAGTTAGTTCTATTACACAATTGAAAAACAAATAAATAAAGCTATGAAAACCAGTTTGGTAAACATTTATTATAAAATATATGTGTTTTATATAGATATATACGTATATAAACATATATACATATATAAACACATAATTATAAAATATATGTGTTTATTATAATAGTATTATTCAACTAAATTCTACTATGTTTTTCAAAATATAAGTCAAGATTCAAGATAGTAATGTGCTTGAAAAGAAGTTTCAGCGCTTTTATTTACCTGTTTAAACAACTGATGAATTTAGAAACAAACTTTCATGGGGTACCTGAATATGGGGAAAGTTTCTGAAAATTTAGGGTGGGAGAGATGCCATCAAGATGGCTGACTAAAGGCACCCAACATTTGTCTCCCCCACAAAGAAGGACCAAAACAACAAGAAGATAACAATACATTGAATAGAGTGCCAAAGGAGAATGCTAGAATTCAGCAGGAAAGTGACAGGAACCCTCTGACATATAAAAACTCAAAATGACAGTATAAAGAGGAAAGAAAAGCCAGGGCAAGGATTGGCTCAGAGCCAGGAGTGACTCTCTAGTGCAAGGAAAAGAAAAGCAAGAGATCCCCAACAGTTCACATTTCCACCACCAATGCCTGCAATATTAGCTACAGGACAACACCTCAGCCCTCACTTGCCCTAAGCTGGTACAGGGAACTTCTTAGTCTACACCACTACACTGTCTCAGAAAGAGAATTCATTCTACGTCCCACCCACATCCTCTGAGACCCAAGAAGCTGTATAATGACACCATTTTGAGGTCTGAGCCAACAACAGACTACTTTCTGCTCTGGGGTCCAACAGCTCCTGCATTCCCCCACAATCCTGGTGGGCCATGATGACATCCCCCCTCAACATCCATTCAGAGGGCTTCAGTGTTGTGTTATGTACTAAACCCAGCAGTGTGACTGTATCCCTAGCATCTGAACCCACACAGCTCCCTACACCCCAGGGAGCAAATGGTCCAGTACCCCAGGGAGGCTGCCACAGGGAATAGGTAAGCATGAAATCCCCAGAACCTGAACATAACCTGACTGGGGCCACTGCCACTGATACTGACCCTGCCGCCTCCAGCAACAAGGCCACCACACACCCATGCATGCCACCCAGGGGTATAAAACCCATCCCATCCAAGCCATTGACACCACCACAGGAACCCACATAAACCACCCAGAGTCCCATGGACCAGTGCACTCAGCCCATTGTCATCACTCAGCCCATTGTCAATGGCACCTGTCCATATCACCCAAGAGCCCAAAAAGGGGTCCACATGGCCCATTGCTACCACTACAACCATATGGCCCAGCTGGAGCCCCTGGACACATCTGCCCAAGGCCTGCTGCTGCTACCACCAATGCCTGCATGCATTTCCCGGGAACCTGAAGACTGTGCATTTGGGGCTTCTACCACCACTGCACATGCCTATATACAACAAGAAGTGGCTTAGGGATCTCATCCAGGGCCCACGACCACCACAGCCAGTACCCAACCATGCCACCCAGGGGCCTAAGGTCTGGCCCACCCAGTGATCCATTCCCCAGCAGATCCTCACCACAGCCTCCAGAAACAATTGCAACCTAACTCACTGAGGAACTTCCAGAAACCGATGACATTGATTACAGTAGAAAAAAAATAATAACACAGAGACTACACTGCAGGACCCATCCAGAACCAAAGCCAAAATACCCTACCCAACTGACACTATAGATACATCTACAGGAAAAGATGTTTCCCTATAAAAGCTACTCTTTAAAAATGAAATCGGTGACCATTAAAAAGTCAGGAAACAACAGATGCTGGAGAGGATGTGGAGAAACAGGAACACTTTTACACTGTTGGTGGGAGTGTAAATTAGTTCAACCACTGTGGAAAACAGTGTGGTAATTCCTAAAAGATCTAGAACTAGAAATACCATTTGACCCAGCAATCCCATTGCTGGGTATCTACCCAAAGGATTATAAATCATTCTACTAAAAAAACATACATGCACATGTATGTTTATTGTGCCACTGTTCACAATAGCAAAGACTTGGAACCAACCCAAATGCTCATCAATGATAGACTGGATAAAGAAAATGTGGCACAAATACACCATGGAATACTATGCAGCCATAAAAAAGAATGAGTTCATGTCCTTTGCAGGGACATGGATGAAGCTGGAAGCCATCATTCTCAGCAAACTAACACAAGAACAGAAAACCAAACACCACATGTTCTCACTCACAAGTGGGAGTTGAACAATGAAAACACGTAGACACAGGGAGGGAAACATCACACACCAGGGCCTGTCAGGGGGTGGGGGACTAGGGGAGGGATAGCATTAGGAGGAATACCTAATGTAGGTGACGGGTTGATGGGTGCAGCAATCCACCATGGCACGTGTATACCTATGTAACAAACCTGAACGTTCCATACATGTACCCCAGAACGTAAAGTATAATTTTTAAAAAAATGTAATCAGTGACTGTTACACCAGATGTGTATATATTGACATGAAAACACAAGAAACATGAAAAAGTAAGGAAACACAACACCCCAATGGGACACAATAATTCTTCAGTAAAAGATCCTAAATAACAGGAAATCTATGCAATGCCTAAAAAGAATTCAAAATAATAATCTTAGGAAATCTCAGCGAGATACAAGATAATACAGATACATAATACGAAGAAATTAGAAAAACAAATCATGATCTGAATGAGAAATTTAACAACAAGATAAATATCATAAAAAAGAACCAAACACAAATTCTGGAACTGAAGAAAACAATGAATGACATAAAAATATAATTGCAAGCTTCAACAATATAATAGATCAAGCAGAACAAATAATTTCTGAACTTGAAGACAAGTCTTTTGAAATAACTCAGTCAGACAAAGAAAAAAATAACTTAAAAGAATGAAAATTCAGTGTGACATATGGGGCACCATCAGGAAAACAAATATTTGAATTTTGGGAATCCAGCAGAAGAGATGAGAAAAGACATGGAAAACCTATTTAGTAAAATAATAGCTGAAAACGTCCCAAGTCTTGTAAGACATATAGACATTTAGATACAGAAAGCTCAAAGGTCTTTAAACAGATTCAACCCAAAAAGGTCCTCTCTGAGGCACATTATAGGAAAACTGTCACAAGTCAAAGACAAAGACAGAATTCTAAAAACAGCAAAAGAAATATCACCAAGTCACATATGAGGGAATCTCCATCAGACTAACAGCAGATTTCTTATTAGAAACTTTACATACCAGGAGAGAAGGAGATAATATATTCAAAGTGCTGAAAAAATAATTGTGAGCCAAAAATACTATATCCAGCAGAGCTGTCCCACAGAAATGAAGGAGAAATAAAGTGTTTCCCAGATAGGCCAAAACTGAGAGAATTCATCACAACTAGACTAGTACTACAAGAAATACTTAAAGGAATTCTACCTCTGGAAGCAAAAGGACAATCAACCATCTATCATCACTAAAACACACAAAAGTATAAAACTTCCTGATAGGGCAGATGCACAAATAAGAAATAAAAAAGAATCAAACATTATTAGCACAGAAAACCACCAAATTGCAAAGACTGTAAGTGAGGAGGAAAGGAAAAAATTATATGCAAGACAACCAGAAACCATCTAACAAAATAGCAGGACTAATTCCTCACACAAAATGACAACCTTGAAGGTAAATGATTTGAATTCCCCAATTAAAAGGTATAGACTGACTGAATGAATTAAAAAAAAGAAAAAAAAAAACAAGATCCATCTGTCTGCTACCTACAAGAAACTCATTTGATCTGTAGATAAACAAACTGAAAGGGAAAGGATGGAAAATGATATTCCATGTGAAAAAAAAACACAAAAGTATGAAGAAAAGCAAGCATATATCACATAAAATAGACTTTAAGTCAAAAACATAAAAAGAAACAAAGAAAGCCATTCTGTGATAAAGAGATCTATTCAGCAAGATGATAAAACAATAGCAAATATATATGCTCCCAATACTGCCCAAATATCAAATATTATTAGAGCTTAAGAATGAGATAAACTCCAGTACGATAATAGCTGAGGCCTTCAATATCTCATTTTCAGCATTGAACAGATCACCTAGAGAAAAAAACAACAAAGAAACATTGGACTCAAACTGTGCTATAGACCAAATGGACCTAACAGCCATTTACAAAAAATTTCATCCAACAGCTGCAGAATACACATACTTCGCATCAGTACATGGAACATTCTCCAGGATATGTTATCCCACAAAACAAATTTCAACAAATACAAAATTTGAAATCACATCAAGTATTTTCTCAGACCACAGTGGAATAAAACTAGAAATCAATAACAAAAGGAACACTGGAAACCATACAAATACATAAAAATTAAACAATATGCTCCTGAATGATCTTTGGATCAATGAAGAAAAAAACATTTTGGAACAGACAAAAATGGAAACAGCTCATACCAAAAGCTATGGAATTAAAAACATTACTAACAGGGAAGTTTATAGTAATAAATGCCCACATCAAAAAAGTAGAAACATTTCAAATAAACAACCTAATGATGCACTGTACCTCAAAAAACTGGAACAATAAGAACTCAAACCCCAAATTAGTAGAGGAAAATAAATAATAAAGACCAGCACAAAACTAAGCAGAACAGAGACTTTAAAAACAGCACAAAAGGTCAATGAAATGAAAAGTTGGTTTCTTGAAAAGATAAACACAATCAACAAATCATTAATGAAACTCAGAAAAAAAAGAGAGGAGACCCAAATAAATAAAATCAGAAACAAAAAAGGAAACTTTATAACTGATAGTAGAGAAACACAAAGGATCATTGAGACTATTATGAACAACTATACACCAACCAAGTAGAAAACCTGAGAAAATGGATAAATTCCTTGACACACATAACCTACCAAGATTGAACCAGGGAGAAATACAAAACATGAATGGACCAATAATGAATAATGAGATTGAATTAGTTATAATAAATCCTCCAGCAAAAGAAAGCCCATGATCAGATGACATTACTGTGAAATTCTAACAAATTTTTAATGGTGAACTAATACCAATTCTCCTCAAACTATTCCAAAAAATTGAAGATAAAGGAATTCTTACTAACTCATCCTATGAGGCCAGCATTAACCTGATAAAAAAATCAGACAAAAACACAATAAAAAAAGAAAACAGAACAATATCCCTCATGAATATAGTTTCAAAGCTCTTCAATAGATACTAGCAAGCCAAATCCAACAGCACATCAAAAACATAATACACCCAATCAAGTGAGATTTATCCCAGTAATGCAAGGATAGTTCAACATATGCAAATCAGTAAATGTGATACATTACATTAATGGAATGGAAATAAACCATATAATCATCTTAATAAATGAAGAAAAAGCACTTGATAAAATTCAACATGCTTTCATGATAAAAACTCTCAACAAATTAAGCATAGAAGAAATACACCTCAACACAATAAAGACCATATATGACAAACCCAGAAATAACATCATACCGAATGGGGAAAAGCTGAAAGACTCTTCTCTAAGAACTGGAACAAAACAAGGGATGTCCACTTTCACCACTTTTATTCAACAGAATACTGGAAGTTTTAACCAAAGCAATTAGGCAAGAGAATAAAATTAAGGGAATCCAAATTGATAAAAACGGACTCAAACTGTTCTTTGCACACAACATGATCTTATATGCAGAAAAACCTAAAGACTTCATGAAAAAATTCTTAAAACTAATAAGCAAATTCAGTGAGGTTGTAGAATACAAAAACAACATACAAAAGTCAGTCGCATTTTTATACACCAATAATGAACTAGCTGAAACAGAAATCAAGAAAGTGATTCCATTTATAATAGCTACAAAAATTAATATACCTGGGAATAAATGTAACCAAAGAGGTAAAAGATATCTACAATGAAAACTACACTAATTTAAGAAATTAAAGAGGACACACACAAAAATGTAAAGACATTCCATACTCATGAATTGAAATAATTAATATTGTTAAAATGATTACACTACCCACAGCAATCTACAAATTTAGTGCAATTTCTATCAAAACATCAGTGTCAGAAATAGAAAAAGCATTCCTAATGTTTGTATAGAACCACAAGAAAAAAAAACATGAATAGACAAAGGAATGCTAAACAAAAAGAACAAAACTGAAGACATTATACTACCTGACAAAGTGTGAAATTACCTTACAAAGTCATATCAACCAAAATAGCATGACAAAACATGTAAAAGCAGACATATAGACCAACGAAACAGTATAGTTACACCAGACATAAATTTATGTGTTTACAGTCAGCTAATTTTTTACAAAGATTCCAAGAGCATACATTGGGACATTCTCTTCAATAAACGGTGTTGGGAAAATAGAGTATCCATATGCAGAAGAAGAAAACTAGATCCCTATTCCTCACCATCAAAATGGATTAAAGGCTTAAATATAAGACCCAAAACTATAAAACCAGTAGAAAAAAAGCATATGTAAACACTTCAGGACATTGGTCTAGGCAAAGATTTTATGGCTAAGACCTCAAAAGCACAGGCAACAAAATCAGAAATAAACCAATGGGACTATAACAAACTAAAAAGCTTCTGCACAGGAAAAGAAAACAAAAAAGCAAAGACACAATCTTTAGAATGCGAGAAAATATCTGCAAACTATTTCTTTAACAAGGAACAAATATCCAGAATATATTTTTAAAAGCTCAACATTACTAATCATCAGGGAAATGCAAGTCAAAACCACAGTGAGATACCATCTCATCTCTTTGGAAAAAAAAAACAGTTTTCCTCTGCTTTCACACCACAACAATCATAACACAGACGAAGACTTCTGTGACAAAATGTGTGGGGAGTGGGGAGGGGAGCAATTCACCAAGTGCACAATCAGTTCTGTGCAGACATCAGATGGGTGTCCTACAATTCAATTCCAACACTATCTACTGGACATAATGTCATATCCCACAGGTTGTGGGCTCAGTCCCAAAAACTGTCCTGCCTCCTTCAGAAACCAGTTGCAACTCCAGGCCTCCAGAACTTCTGATGAATGGGATTTAGGTTGGGGTTCCCATGACCCCCTATTTGGGTTTGATTAATTTTCTAGAGTAGCTCACAAAATTCAGGGAAACATTTACTTACATTTAACAGTTTATTATAAAGGAAATTGATACGGTTTGGCTCTGTGTCCCCACCCAAATCTCATGTCAAATTGTAATTCCCAGTGTTTGAAGAAAGGCCTTGTGGGAGGTGATTGAATCATGGGGGCAGACTCCCTCCTTGCTGTTCTCATAATAGAGTTCTCATGAGATCTGTTTGTTTGAAAGTGTGTAGCACTTCCCGCTTTGTTCTCTCTCTCTCCTGCTGCCCATGTGAAGATGTGTCTGCTTCCCCTTCATCTTCCGCCATGATTGTAAGTTTTCTGAGACCTCCCCAGAAGCAGAAGCCTGTATGAGCCCATGGAACCATGGGCCAATTAAACCTCTTTCCTTTAAAATTACCCAGTCTCAGGTATGTCTTTATAGCAGTGCAAGAACAGACTAATACAGATATTATAAGGCAAGGTATGTGTGAAGAAGCATGGAGATCCCATGCCTTTCCTGGATACACCACTCTGTGGTAATCTTCATGTGTTCAGTTATCAGAAAGCTCCCCAAATCCTGTCTTCTTTTACCTTTTATGGAGATGTCATTGGATAGGCATGATTGACAACCACGTAGAAATGTGACTGGACGTAAAAGGTATGTTCTAAACCCAGCAAAGCCTGTCTTTACAGATTCTTCTTGGCCTCTCTGAGCAGCATTTCTTACTCCAGCGTTTGGGGCAGGACCCTGTCTTAAATGAGGGTCTTATCACCCACAATTAAATACAGTCCTAAGATTCTGCTTCATTACAACAAAAAATGGTAACAAGGGATATGGGAGTTATAAGCCAAAAACCATGGACAAATATATTTGTCCTCCAGAACTTCTCTTGAACTGGGTTTAAGTTGGGGTTCCCATGATCCCCTCTTTGGGTTTGATTAATTTGCTAGAGTAGCTCACAAAACTCAGGGAAACACTTTACTTACATTTACCAATATATTTATATCTAAACATATATACAAATAACATCACATCACCCCAGGTAGACAAGCTATTATCAAAAAGGCAAAAAATAAGAATTGCTGGTAAGGATGCAGAAAAAAGAGAACTCTTAAACACTATTGGCGCCAATTAAACCACTACAGCCATTATGGACAATGGTATGTAGGTTTCTCCAAAAACTAAAAATACCATATGATCTAGCAATCCCACTACTGGGTATTTATCAAAGAAAAGGAAATCAATGTGTCAAAGGGATACCTGTACCTCCATGTTTATTGCAGCACTATTCACAATAGCAAAGATATGGAATCAATCTAAATGTCCATCAGTGGATGAATGGATAAAGAAAATGTGGTATATATTCACAATAGAAGACTATTCAACCATTAAAATAATGAAATCCTGTCATTTGTGGCAACAAAGTTGAGCCTGGAGGACATTATGTTAAGTGAAATAAGAAAGACACAAAAAGATAAATACCATGTGTTCTCACTCACGTATGGGAGCTAAAAAATATAGCTCATAGAAGTATTATGAGCTATATTTATTATTATAGTATTATTATCCTCTATTATCATTAGAGGATGAGAAGGGTGGCAGGAGAGGAAGATAGGGAGAGACTAGTTAAAATATACAAAGTTACAGCTATATGGGAGGAATAAGTTCTAGTGTTATTTAACACTCTAGAGTGAATATGGTTAACAATAATTTAGTGTATATTTTCAAAAAGCTAGAAGAGAGAATATTGAATGTTCACAACTCAAACAAATGATCAATGTTCTAAGTGATGGATATAATTACCCTGATTTGATCCTTACACATTGTATGCACTGTATGCCATAAATATACAAAATTATTACATGTCAACTAAAAAATAAAAGGAAAAAAAATTTAGGGTGAGATGAGTAGATATATGGCACTTTTAGCTAATTAATACCTAGACTTCTTTAAAGAGCTTCCTTGCTATTCCCAGGGAAAGCTTCAAGTAGACTTTTCTTTCTTACCTAGTTTGCTAATAGTTTTCAAACTTCAGTTACATAAGATTTACTTAGGGATGATTATGGAAAATACAGAATCCAATGACTTTCATTCCGAAGGTCTGGGGTGAGGCCCAAGAATCAGCAGTTTTAACAAACATTCCAAGTTAGTGTACCACACTTTGAGAAACATCACTGTAGAGTGAAGTAATAATATAAACTTCCTGTATTTACAAGAGGATCTTGCCCTTATGAAAGTTGGAAAAAATAGGATAATAATATGTTTTTTAGACCCATGTTCTCTGTATTGTGATTTTTTTCAATGACATGTGTTTGCCCTAGGGGTCTGAAGAATATTTTAACTTTTTTGTTGTTCTATTCACTGTTGTTTACTGATGTCTACTCCTAAAGGAAATGTTTTTAAAAGGTACAGAAACACAACTACACAGAGATACGATCTATATTTTAAAGGAAGATTTGGTTTTAGACCTTTCTCAGATGTGTTTAGGGAGTTGAGTTCCTATTCAGTTCTAAAAGCATCAACCCTCAGTGGACACCAGTGTTGTAGTCAGCCAAGTTGAAATCATTGTACAAGGACGTATTTTCAGCAAGTTCCAGACTTCATTCAAAAGGGAAAAGTTTCTTGTACTTTGTCTTCATAAAGAGTAGCTGCTGTAACTTCGAAGGGGAAAAAAAAAATCACAGGAACTAGAAGTATTGATATCTGATTTAAAATGCAAAAAACAAAAAAAGGATTACAAGAGAAAAGGAGCAAAATGTGTTCAGTGTGCCAAATGCAAGCATGGTAATAATCTGTAAGCATTTAGAAGATATAATGAATATTTCCTTAGGAGGAAGAGTCATCATGTAGTTGAGTGCAGGGTGCTAGGACAAGGAGAAATGGGTCCTGATTTCTGTGTAATTTTCTATCAAACTCAAAGTTGCTGATTACATAGTTTCAGCCATTTTTGAAAAATGTTTTTGGCACACACAAGCAAAGCTCTTAACTAATCCAGGACTGCTGATGTGAATGCAGCAAGAATTTATTTACAATTAGGTCTAACAGTCCCAAAGGTAAATCTATTTTTTAAAGTCATTAGGAAACTTACCTCTGCAAAAATTCTACTTTCCCCTCCCCCAAGGGTGTCAACTTGGGATAGGTGAATCAAATAATAAATTTGCTGAGTAGCACAAATACTAGTGAAGACTTTGCAGCTCTCATGATTTCTGCTACCTTTTAAAAGCTTACACGTTCTGTTTCCCTTTCAGTAAGCTATACTAACCAAGAAACCCAGGAAAACACAGACGTTTGCTGGCATGAAAGATAATTTATAATTCCAGAGTAAAAAATGCTATTTATCTACTGTCATCTTCAGGCTACATGCCTCATCTGCATTCATATTTTAATGTTGATTGATAATATTTCTTGCTTCTTTCATTGTAGTTTCCTCCCCAAGATTTATTTTCTCAGAAAGGTCACTTCCACACTACTGTATTTCTGAGACTACATCTTTCTACCTTGCCAGGATATTTTTTCCTTATTACTTTACCACATTATGTATTATTAATTAAAAAAACTGATTTGAAGTCATTTATAGCATAGTCAAGTGTTTGTCTAAGGATATTTCCATGCAATGGGAATTTTTTGAGTTTGGTCTACAGAGCAGAAACATCAGTATCACCTAGAAGAAATGCACAATCTCAGGATTCATCCCAGATCTGCAGAATAAGAATCTTCATTTTCACAAGATCCCACAGTGATTTATGTACACTTTAAAGTTAGAGAAGTAGAAGGTTTTACAAGGTCAATGACTGTAGTGAGGAGCCCCCATCTAGCCCCACTACTCCTAGGATTCTGAGTCTGCCATGCCTTAAGAGATTGTTCTCTACAGATTCGGTGGTGGATCTGCCAGAGATATTTCTCCTGTGTTTTCTCTAGTGGGAAGAGTACCAGGGTATCATTTAGCATTCTGTCACTCTGTCCAGGGCAAGACCCATAGACAGTAACATTCTGAAGAGAACTAACTAACTCTTCTCTACCATTATATCTCTACTGCTAGAAAGCAGTGACTGGCATATAATAGCTGTTCGCAAATAAAATGCAATTGGAATCCTAGAAGCACCAAAATCATTGGTGAAATATTTAAACATTTCAACAACTTGAAAGAAATGTATGGTCAACATGAAATTACCTACCCTCGTAGTTTCATTGCTACTGATCAAGTCAAAAGTATTGTTTTGTAAGATATATAGTCTACTCCAAATCTAAGTCTTGACAAAAGCATAGTACACTTTGGTTAGGCTACTGACTCCAAGCTACTTACTGACATCATAGAACATGTATTCTAAACTTTTGAGGACTTGTTTAGACCTAATTATATGATAAGCAAATGGTGGAAACCCAATAAATGCTACTGACAGGCTGACAAGATTTACTCACCACTGGCTTGAGTCTTTGTGACTCAGTTCAGCCTCAAAGGAAAAGAATTCACGGCCTTCCCCATCCACTCTGTAGCTGGGCAGCCTTTCACCAATGCAGAGAACTAATTGCTTCTTTGTCTTTGGCTTGCATATCGCTTATTACTGGCATGACGTTCCAGTACCCAAGAAGCACAAATAGTGATCCCTGAAGCTGCTTTAACCTTTTCAAACTCTAACAACTTGATTGTATGCTTCATTACACTCCTCAGGATGACAGTCTGAAACAGAGAATTCCACCAGCATCCTTCATTAGTACTTTCTCCCCCTTCCCAAGATACCAAATGTCCTGCAAGTACAGGCAGAAACTTCAGCATCCATCCCTCAGTATTTTAGTGCTTCCTGTTCCTGGGCACATTTCCTAACTATTAAATCATGTGTGTGTTTTGAAAACCATAAGCTCAATGAGCTTTGCCCACTCCAGCTTGCCCCAGGGCATATAAACCCTTCACTAGAAAATTCCTCTCTATGGGGGTTTTCTTTCACAAAGCAACAACATTAGCAAAAACTCAAAAACTCACAAAACTGAGATAAGGTAAATAGAAACGAAAACAATTCTAAAAAGGCTGGAAAGATTTACTGAAATTACAATTACCATCATATTTGGTATAGGATATGAAGTTCCTGCTAATCTGATCCTTGCCTTGCACACTCACCACCAGCGGTCCCCATATCCCAGCCTATGCACTGCATCCCCTGCTGGCTATGCATCCTCACAAAGACACACTATAGCTGTTCACACTTGGGTCTGCCACTCTACTGGGTAAATGTCTACTCTTCTGTGACAGCCTTGCTCAAATAACTTCTATCAACCCTACTTAAACCACAGGTCATTTTCCATCCTGCAAGCAATGTATAAATTTATATAAACCCTAGTTTAGTGCATTTCATATTTATGATAATCATTTACATATGTCTCTACCCTAGAATGCAGGATATTTTTACATTCTTCTAGTGAGAAGAGTAGTAGGGTGTCATTTAGTACTCTGTCACTCTGTCCAGGGCAAGCCACATAGACAGTAACATCCTAATAAGAAACAACTACACCTTCTCTACGATTATGTCTCTACTGCCAGAGAGCAGTGACTGGCATGTAATAAGTGTTCACAAATAAAATATATATGGAATCCTAGAAGTATTTAGTTAGTTGGCACTACATATCCAGTGCCCATTTAAGTAAGTACTTGACACTGAATAAACAAGGAAACAAAAAATAATCACTAGGTTATGCCTAAAATTAGAGACATTTTAGGAAACATTTAAGACCCACTAATATGCCTTCATAATTAGACAAAAATTCTATTAATAACGTAAATGTAAAAATGTTTCCTATAATAAAAGCGTAATAACACAAACATGTGAAACCATTAGGTCACTCGCCTTTGAGAAGTTTAAAAATAAAACTACAGAAATTGCTCCTATTTGGCAGGAGTTAATGAATTCTGTTTATCTCAACCAGAAGCAATAATGCTATTAATTTGAATGACTGAGCGGCATCTCAGTCTTTACATAGTCCAATTTCCTCATATAGTCCCATAATCATATTATTTTTCTGAAAATTTTGCTTAAATACTAATATGAGAGCATCCCGAAGCAAACCAAAAATGATATAATTTTATTATATTTTCACGTAAAAAAAAAATTAAGAAATAAAATTAGGGTCTAGAAAAATACCTTCAGTGGGCCAGGGCCAAGATGGCTGACTAGAAGCAGTGGCGATCAGAGGCTCCCATAGAAAAGAACCATAATAGTTGTGAATCCTGTACTGCAACCAAGGTATCCAGGTTCTCTCATCAGAACTGACTAGGCAGCCGGCATGATCCACGGAAAGGAAGGAAGAGCAGTGTGGTGCAGTGGCCCACCTGAGAGCCACATGGAGCAGGGGAGCCCCCACCCCTTAGCCAAGGGAGGTGGTGAGTAAGCATGCTACCCAGCCAGGGAAAACATGCTTTTCCCATGGAACCATGCAACCCATAGATCGGAAGATCCCACTGGTGAATCCATGCAACTGAGGCCTAGGGTCCCAAACTTGGAGGCATGCAGATTCTCAACAGTCTCTCAGCTAGAATCTGCTTAAGCCTGCTGAGTTTTCTGGGGGAGGGGGATCAGCACCAGAGTTGTGGCTGCCTGATGTCTAAGCCTTTTAAGCTCCTTGTGGGAGGGGCAACAGCCAGCACTGAGACTCATAACTGTCTAACATGCTAAGCTCCCTGGGTGGGGGAAGGACAGCATCCATCTCTATAGATCCAATCCATGCTTTTCCCCTGCTGGAGCCAGGGAGACTGGACAGCTTGGTTCCAAGAGGTGTGCCCCACAGCCCAACATACCAGCTGTGGCAGACTGCAGCCAGAGCACCTCTTCAGGCCTGACCCTGACTCATCCTTCCTCATTGGGCAGGGCCTCCCTGCAGGAAGGCCAACAACTCTAGCCAGAGGCTCAGGGACAGAAACCTGAGCTCCCTGGGCCTGAGCCCCTAGGGGGTGGGGTCACCACAGTCTCTGTGGACCAGCAGACTTACCCTTTCCTCCTGGTAGTTCTGAGGAATCAAGGCAGCCCAGATGAGTGAGTATCCCCCAAGCAAAGCACACCACCTCCATCGAGGGACAGTCAAAGTGCTTTGTTAAACGGGTCCTGTTCCCCATGCCACCCAAATAGGCAAGACCCTTCAACAGGGGTTGTCAGACACCCTATACAGAATTGATCCTACTGGCATCAGGTTTGTGCCCCTTGAGGTCAGAGATCCCAGAAGAAGGAGAAGACACCCATCTTTGTTATTCTCCAGCCTCTTTCAGTGGCATCTCCAGGCACGGGAGCAAACCAGATGAATAGAGCCTGTATTGAACCCCAAGCAAACCACAGCAGCCCTACAGAAGAGGGACCTGACCTTTGAAAGAAAAACAAACAAACAGAAAGCAACAACAACAGCATCAACAACAACAAAAAAGTCCCCACAAAAACCCCATCCAAGGGTTAGCAGCCTCAAAGATCAAACCTGGACAAACTCATGAAGATGAGAAAGAATCAATGAAAATATGCTGAAACCCGTAAGGCCAGAGTGTCTCTTCTCCTCCAAATGATTGCAATGTCTCTGCAGCAAGGGTGAAGAACTGAACGGAGGATAAGATGGGCAAATTGACAGAAGTAGGCTTCAGGTGATGAGTAATAAGAAACTCCTCTTAGCTAAAGGAACATGTTTTAACCCAATGCAAAGAAGCTAAGAACCTTGATAAAAGGTTAGGGGAGTTGCTAACTAGAATAACCAGTTTGGAGAGGAACATAAATGACCTGGTGGAGCTGAAAAACACAGCACAAGAACTTCGAGACGCATACACAAGTATCAATAGCCGAATCAACCAAGTGAAAGAAAGGATATCAGAGTTTGAAGACCACCTTGCTGAAATAAGGCATGCAGACAAGATTAGAGAAAAAATAATGAAACAGAACTAACAAAGCCTCCAAGAAATATGGGACTACATAAAAAGACCAAACTTAAAATTGATTGCAGTACATGAAGGAGACAGGGATAATGAAAACAAGCTGGAAAACACACTTCAGGATGTTATCCAGGAGAATTTCCCCAACCTAGCAAGATAAGACAACATGCAAATTCAGGAAATACAGAGAACACCACTAAGATAGTCCATGAGAAGATCAACCCCAAGACACAAAATTATCAGATTCTCAAAGGTTGAAATGAAGGAAAAACGTTAAAGGGAACCAGAGAGAAAAGCCAGGTCACCTACAAGGGAAGCCTATCAGACTAACAGTACACCTCTCAGCAGAAACCCTACACGCCAGAAAAGAGGGCCAATATTCAACATTCCTAAAGAAAAGAATTTTCAACCCAGAATTTCATATCCAGCCAAACTAAGCTTCATAAATGAAGGAGAAATAAAATCCTTTACAGACAAATAAATACTGAGGGAACTCATCACCACCATGCTTACATCGCAAGAGCTCCTGAGGAAAGCACTAAATATGGAAAGAAAAAAAACAGTAGCAACCACTGCAAAAACCACACCAAAATATAAAGATTAATGATGTTATGAAGAAACTGCATCAACTAGTGTGCAAAATAACCAGAGAGCATCATGATGACAGGATCAAATTTACACATAACATATTAACCTTAAATGTAAATGGGTTATACGCCCCAATTAAAAGACACAGGCTGGCAAATTGGATAAAGAGTCAAGACATATCGATGTGCTGTATTCAGGAGACCCATCTCACATGCAAAGACACACGTAGGCTCAAAATAAAGGGATGGAGGAAAATTTACCAAGCAAATAGAAAGAAAAAAAAAAAAGCAGGGGTTGCAATCCTAGTCTCTGATAAAACAGGCTTTAAACCAACAAACGGCAAAAAAGACAAAGAAGGGCATTACATAATGGTAAAGGGATCAATGCAACAAGAAGAGCTAACTATTCTAAATATATATGTACCCAATACAGGAGCACCCAGATTCCTAAAACAGGTTCTTAGAGACCTACAAAGAGATTCAGACTCCCACACAATAATAGCGGGAGACTTTAACATCCCACTGTCAATATTAGACAGATCAACAAGACAGAAAATTAACAAGGATATTCAGGACATGAACTCAGCTCTGGATCAAGTGAACCTAATAGACATCTACAGAACTCTGCATGACAAATCAACAGAATATACATTCTTCTCAGTGCCACATGTCACTTATTCTAAAATTGACCACATAATTGGAAGTAAAACACTGCTCAGCAAAAGCAAAAGAAGTGAAATCATAACAAACAGTCTCACAGACCACAGTGCAATCAAATTAGAACTCAAGATTAAGAAACTCACTCAAAACCACACAATTACATGAAAATTGAACAACCTGCTCCTGAATGAATCCTAGGTAAATAATGAAATTAAGGCAGAAATCAAGTTCTTTGAAATCAATGAGAACAAAGAGACAACGTACCAGTATCTCTGAGACACAGCTAAAGCAGTGTTAAGAGGGAAATTTATAGCACTAAATGCCCACATCAGAATGCCAGAAAGATCTCAAACTGACACCCTAACATCACAACTAAAGGAGTTAGAGAAGCAAGAGCAAACTAATCCAAAAGCTAGCAGAAGACAGAGCAGAATCGAAGGAGATAGAAACATGAAAAAGCCTCCAAAAAAATCAATGAATCCAGGAGCTTGTTTTCTGAAAAAATTAACAAAATAGGCCACTAGCTAGAGTAATAAAAAAGAGAGAAAAATAAAATAGACACAATAAAAAGTGATAAAAGGGATATCACCACTGACACCACAGAAATACAAACTACCATCGGAAAATACTATAAACGCTTCTACACAAATAAACTAGAAAATTGAGAAGAAAAGTATAAATTCCTGGACACATACACCCTTCCAACTCTAAACCAGGAAGAAGTTGAATCCCTGAATAGACCAATAACAAGTTCTGAAATTGAGGCAGTAATGAATAGCCTACCAATCAAAAAAAAAAAAAACCTAGGACCAGACAGATTCACAGCCGAATTCTACCAGAGGTACAAACAGGAGTGGTACCATTCCTTTTGAAACTATTCCAAACAATTGAAAAGAAGGGACTCTTCTCTAACTCATTTTATGTAGCCAGCATCATCCTGATACCAGAACCTGGCAGAGAAACAACAACAACAAAAAAACTTCAGGCCAATATCCCTGATGAACATTGATGCAAAAATCCTCAATAAAGTACTGGCAAACTGAATCCAGCACCACATCAAAAAACATCCACCATGATCAAACCAGCTTCATCCCTGGGATGCAAGGCTGGTTCAACATATGCAAATCAATAAATGTAATCCATCACATAAACAGAACCAAAGACAAAAACCACATGATTATCTCAATAAATGCACAAAAGGCCTTTAATAAAATTCAACATCCCTTCATGTTAAAAACTCTCAGTAAACTAGGTATTGATGGAATATATCTCAAAATAATAAGAGCTATTTATGACAAACCCATAGCTAATATCATACTGAATGGGCAAAAGCTGGAAGCATTCCCTTTGAAAACGGTACAAGACAAGGATGACCTCTCTCACTATTCCTATTCAACATAGTATTGGAAGTTCTGGCCGGGGCAGTCAGGCCAGAGAAAGAAATAAAGGGTATTCAAATAGGAAGAGAGGAAGTCAAATTGTCTCTGTTTGCAGATGATATGATTCTAAAGTTAGAAAACCTCATCATCTCAGCCCAAAAACTCCTTAAGCTGATAAGCAACTTCGGCAAAGTCTCAGGATACAAAATCGATGTGCAAAAAATCACAAACATTTCTTTTTTTTTTTTTCCCAGATGGAGTCTTGCTCTGTCACCCAGGCTGGAGTGCAGTGGCACAATCTCGGCTCACTGCAAGCTCCGCCTCCTGGGTTCAAGTCATTCTTCTGCCTCAGCCTCCCAAGTAGCTGGGACTGCAGGTGCATGCCACCACATCCGGCTAATTTTTTTTTATTTTTAGTAGAGACGGGTTTCACCATATTGGCCAGGCTGGTCTCAAACTCCTGACCTCGTGATCTGCCCACCTCAGCCTCCCAATGTGCTGGGATTACAGGTGTGAGCCACTGCGCCCAGGCAAAAATCACAAACATTTCTTTACCCCAGCAATAGACAGGCAGAGACCCAAATCATGAATGAACTCCCATTCACAATTGCTACAAAGAGAATAAAATACTTAGGAATACAACTTACAAGGGATGTGAAGGACCTCTTCAAGGAGAACTACAAACCACAACTCAAGGAAATAAGAGAGGACACAAATAGAAAAACATTCCATGCTCATGGATAGGAAGAATCAGTATCATGAGAATGGCCATACTGCCCAAAGTAATTTGTAGATTCAATGCTGTTCCCATCAAACAACCACTGACGCTCTTCACAGAATTAGAAAAAACTACTTTAAATTTCATATGGAATCAAAGAAGACCCCATATAGCCAAGACAATCCTAAGCAAAAAGAACAAAGCTGGAGGCATCACACTACCTGACTTCAAACTGTACTACAAGGCTACAGTAACCAAAACAGCATGGTACTGTACCAAAACAGACATATAAAACAAGGGAACAGAACAGAGACCTCAGAAATAACACCACACATCTACGACATCTGATCTTCAACAAACATGACAAAAACAAGCAATGGGGAAAGGCTCTCCTGTTAAATAAATGATGCTGGGAAAACTGGCTAGCCATATGCAGAAAATTGAAACTGGAACCTTGCCTTACACCTTATGCAAAAATTAACTCTAGATGGATTAAAGTCTTAAATGTAAAACCCAAAACCACAAACACCCTAGAAGAAACCCTAGGCAATACCATTCAGTACATAGGCGTGGGCAAAGGCTTCATAACGGAAATGCCAAAAGCAATTGCAACAAAATCCAAAATTGACAAATGGCATCTAATTAAACTAAAGAGCTTTTGCACAGCAAAAAAAAAAAAAAAAAATTATCATCAGAGTGAACAGGCAACCCAATATTCAACATTCTTAAAGAAAAGAATTTTCAACCCAGAATTTCATATCCAGCCAAACTAAGCTTCATAAGTGAAGGAGAAATAAAATACTTTATAGACAAGCAAATGTTGAGAGATTTTGTCACCACCAGGCCTGCCCTAAAAGAGCTCCTGAAGGAAGCGCTAAACATGGAAAGGAACAACCGGTACCAGCCGCTGCAAAATCATGCCAAAATGTAAAGACCATCGAGACTAGGAAGAAACTGCATCAACTAATGAGCAAAATCACCAGCTAACATCATAATGACAGGATCAAATTCACACATAACAATATTAACTTTAAATATAAATGGACTAAATTCTGCAATTAAAAGACACAGACTGGCAAGTTGGATAAAGAGTCAAGACCCATCAGTGTGCTGTATTCAGGAAACCCATCTCACGTGCAGAGACACACATAGGCTCAAAATAAAAGGATGGAGGAAGATCTACCAAGCCAATGGAAAACAAAAAAAGGCAGGGGTTGCAATCCTAGTCTCTGATAAAACAGACTTTAAACCAACAAAGATCAAAAGAGACAAAGAAGGCCATTACATAATGGTAAAGGGATCAATTCAACAAGAGGAGCTAACTATCCTAAATATTTATGCACCCAATACAGGAGCACCCAGATTCATAAAGCAAGTCCTCAGTGACCTACAAAGAGACTTAGACTCCCACACATTAATAATGGGAGACTTTAACAACCCACTGTCAACATTAGACAGATCAACGAGACAGAAAGTCAACAAGGATACCCAGGAATTGAACTCAGCTCTGCACCAAGCAGACCTAATAGACATCTACAGAACTCTCCACCCCAAATCAACAGAATATACATTTTTTTCAGCACCACACCACACCTATTCCAAAATTGACCACATAGTTGGAAGTAAAGCTCTCCTCAGCAAATGTAAAAGAACAGAAATTATAACAAACTATCTCTCAGACCACAGTGCAATCAAACTAGAACTCAGGATTAAGAATCTCACTCAAAGCCGCTCAACTACATGGAAACTGAACAACCTGCTCCTGAATGACTACTGGGTACATAACGAAATGAAGGCAGAAATAAAGATGTTCTTTGAAACCAACGAGAACAAAGACACCACATACCAGAATCTCTGGGACGCATTCAAAGCAGTGTGTAGAGGGAAATTTATAGCACTAAATGCCTACAAGAGAAAGCAGGAAAGATCCAAAATTGACACCCTAACATCACAATTAAAAGAACTAGAAAAGCAAGAGCAAACACATTCAAAAGCTAGCAGAAGGCAAGAAATAACTAAAATCAGAGCAGAACTGAAGGAAATAGAGACACAAAAAACCCTTCAAAAAATCAATGAATCCAGGAGCTGGTTTTTTGAAAGGATCAACAAAATTGATAGACCGCTAGCAAGACTAATAAAGAAAAAGAGAGAGAAGAATCAAATAGACACAATAAAAAATGATAAAGGGGATATCACCACCGATCCCACAGAAATACAAACTACCATCAGAGAATACTACAAACACCTCTACGCAAATAAACTAGAAAATCTAGAAGAAATGGATACATTCCTCGACACATACACTCTCCCAAGACTAAACCAGGAAGAAGTTGAATCTCTGAATAGACCAATAACAGGCTCTGAAATTGTGGCAATAATCAATAGTTTACCAACCAAAAAGAGTCCAGGACCAGATGGATTCACAGCCGAATTCTACCAGAGGTACATGGAGGAACTGGTACCATTCCTTCTGAAACTATTCCAATCAATAGAAAAAGAGGGAATCCTCCCTAACTCATTTTATGAGGCCAGCATCATTCTGATACCAAAGCCGGGAAGAGACACAACCAAAAAAGAGAATTTTAGACCAATATCCTTGATGAACATTGATGCAAAAATCCTCAATAAAATACTGGCAAACCGAATCCAGCAGCACATCAAAAAGCTTATCCACCATGATCAAGTGGGCTTCATCCCTGGGATGCAAGGCTGGTTCAATATACGCAAATCAATAAATGTAATCCAGCATATAAACAGAGCCAAAGACAAAAACCACATGATTATCTCAATAGATGCAGAAAAAGCCTTTGACAAAATTCAACAACCCTTCATGCTAAAAACTCTCAATAAATTAGGTATTGATGGGACGTATTTCAAAATAATAAGAGCTATCTATGACAAACCCACAGCCAATATCATACTGAATGGGCAAAAACTGGAAGCATTCCCTTTGAAAACCGGCACAAGACAGGGATGCCCTCTCTCACCGCTCCTATTCAACATAGTGTTGGAAGTTCTGGCCAGGGCAATCAGGCAGGAGAAGGAAATAAAGGGTATTCAATTAGGAAAAGAGGAAGTCAAATTGTCCCTGTTTGCAGATGACATGATTGTTTATCTAGAAAACCCCATCGTCTCAGCCCAAAATCTCCTTAAGCTGATAAGCAACTTCAGCAAAGTCTCAGGATACAAAATCAATGTACAAAAATCACAAGCATTCTTATACACCAACAACAGACAAACAGAGAGCCAGATCATGGGTGAACTCCCATTCACAATTGCTTCAAAGAGAATAAAATACCTAGGAATCCAACTTACAAGGGATGTGAAGGACCTCTTCAAGGAGAACTACAAACCACTGCTCAAGGAAATAAAAGAGGAGACAAACAAATGGAAGAACATTCCATGCTCATGGGTAGGAAGAATCAATATCGTGAAAATGGCCATACTGCCCAAGGTAATTTACAGATTCAATGCCATCCCCATCAAGCTACCAATGACTTTCTTCACAGAATTGGAAAAAACTACTTTAAAGTTCATATGGAACCAAAAAAGAGCCCGCATTGCCAAGTCAATCCTAAGCCAAAAGAACAAAGCTGGAGGCATCACACTACCTGACTTCAAACTATACTACAAGGCTACAGTAACCAAAACAGCATGGTACTGGTACCAAAACAGAGATATAGATCAATGGAACAGAACAGAGCCCTCAGAAATAATGCCGCATATCTACAACTATCTGATCTTTGACAAACCTGAGAAAAACAAGCAATGGGGAAAGGATTCCCTATTTAATAAATGGTGCTGGGAAAACTGGCTAGCCATATGTAGAAAGCTGAAACTGGATCCCTTCCTTACACCTTATACAAAAATCAATTCAAGATGGATTAAAGATTTAAACGTTAAACCTAAAACCATAAAAACCCTAGAAGAAAACCTAGGCATTACCATTCAGGACATAGGCGTGGGCAAGGACTTCATGTCCAAAACACCAAAAGCAATGGCAACAAAAGACAAAATTGACAAATGGGATCTAATTAAACTAAAGAGCTTCTGCACAGCAAAAGAAACTACCATCAGAGTGAACAGGCAACCTACAACATGGGAGAAAATTTTTGCAACCTACTCATCTGACAAAGGGCTAATATCCAGAATCTACAATGAACTCAAACAAATTTACAAGAAAAAAACAAACAACCCCATCAAAAAGTGGGCGAAGGACATGAACAGACACTTCTCAAAAGAAGACATTTATGCAGCCAAAAAACACATGAAGAAATGCTCATCATCACTGGCCATCAGAGAAATGCAAATCAAAACCACTATGAGATATCATCTCACACCAGTTAGAATGGCAATCATTAAAAAGTCAGGAAACAACAGGTGCTGGAGAGGATGCGGAGAAATAGGAACACTTTTACACTGTTGGTGGGACTGTAAACTAGTTCAACCATTGTGGAAGTCAGTGTGGCGATTCCTCAGGGATCTAGAACTAGAAATACCATTTGACCCAGCCATCCCATTACTGGGTATATACCCAAATGAGTATAAATCATGCTGCTATAAAGACACATGCACACGTATGTTTATTGCGGCACTATTCACAATAGCAAAGACTTGGAACCAACCCAAATGTCCAACAATGATAGACTGGATTAAGAAAATGTGGCACATATACACCATGGAATACTATGCAGCCATAAAAAATGATGAGTTCATATCCTTTGTAGGGACATGGATGAAATTGGAAACCATCATTCTCAGTAAACTATCGCAAGAACAAAAAACCAAACACCGCATATTCTCACTCATAGGTGGGAATTGAACAATGAGATCACATGGACACAGGAAGGGGAATATCACACTCTGGGGACTGTGGTGGGGTCGGGGGAGGGGGGAGGGATAGCATTGGGAGATATACCTAATGCTAGATGACACATTAGTGGGTGCAGCGCACCAGCATGGCACATGTATACATATGTAACTAACCTGCACAATGTGCACATGTACCCTAAAACTTAGAGTATAATAAAAAAAAAAAAAAAAAAAAAAAAAGAAAAAAAAAAAAAAAAAAAGAGTGAACAGGCAACCTACAGAATGGGAGAAAATGTTTGCAATCTACCCATCTGACAAAGGTCTAATATCCAGAATTTACAAGGAACTTAAACAAATTTACAAGAAAAAAGCAAACAACCCCATCAAAAAGTTGGTAAAGGATATGAACAGACACTTCTCAAAAGAAGACATTTACATGGCCAACAAACATATGAAAAAAGTTCAACATCACTGATCATTAGAGAAATGCAAATCAAAACCAAAGTGAGATACCATCTCACGCCAGTTAAAATGGCGATTATTAAAAAGTCAAGAAACAATAGATGCTGGAGAGGCTGTGGAGAAACAGGAACACTTTTACACATTGGTGGGAATGAAAATTAGTTCAACCATTGTGAAAGACAGTGTGGTGATTCCTCAAGGATCAAGAACCAGAAATACCATTTGACCCAGCAATCCCATTACTGCGTATATACTCAAAGGAATGTAAATCATTCTACTATAAAGACACATGCACACATATGTTTATTGCAGCATGATTTACAATAGCAAAGTCAAGGAATCACCCCAAATGCCCATCGATGATTGACTGGATAAAGAAAATGTTGTAGACATACACCATGAAATACTATGCAGCCATAAAAAGGAATGAAATCATGTCCTTTGCAGGGACATGGATGCTGGAAATCATCATCCTCAGCAAACTAACACAGGAACAGAAAACCAAACACCGCATGTTCTCACTCCTAAGTGGGAGTTGAACAGTGAGAACACATGGAAACAGAGAGGGGAACAACACACACCAGGGGCCGTTGAGGGGTGGGGGGCAAGGGGAGGGAACTCAGACAATGAGTCAATAGGTGCAGCAAATCACCATGGCACACATATATCTATGTAACAAATCTGCAGGTTCTGCACATGTATACCGGTGAGAGGTGACAGGGTGCTGGCAGACCTCACTTGCTCTTGGTGCCTCCTCGGCCTCGGCACCCACTCTGGCTGCACTTGAGGAGCCCTTCAGCCCGCCGCTGCACTGTGGGAGCCCCTCTTGGCTGGCCGAGGCCAGAGCCGGCTCCCTCTGCTTGCAGGGAGGTGTGGAAGGAGAGACGCAGCGCTCGTGGGCCAGCGCGAGTTGCGGGTGGACACAGGCTCGGCGGGCCCGGCACCAGGAGTGGCCAGCAGGTGCCGCTTGCCCCAGGCAGTGAGGGGCTTAGCACCCGAGGCAGCAGCTGCCGAGGGGGCGCCGGGTCCCCCAGCACTGCCGGCCCGCCCGCGCCACACTCGAATTCTCGCAGGGCCCCAGCCGCCTCCCTGCGGGGCAGGGCTCGGGACCTGCAGCCCGCCATGCCCGAGCTCTCCCCCACCCCCACCAGTGGGCTCCCGCGGGGCCAGAGCCTCCCCGACTGTCCTCTGGATGGGAGGAACGAACAACTCCAGACGCGCCACCTTAAGAGCTGTAACACTCACCGCGAAGGCCTGCAGCTTCACTCCTGAAGCCAGCCAGACCGTGAACCCACCAGAAGGAAGAAACTCCGAACACCTCCGAACACCTCCGAACACCTCCGAACATCAGAAGGAACAAATTCCAGACACACCATCTTTAAGAACTGTAACACTCACACCGCGGGTCCGCGGCTTCATTCTTGAAGTCAGTGAGACCAAGAACCCACCAATTCCGGACACAACTTAAAATAAATAATTTTAAAAATCTTAAGAGAAAGAAAGAAAAATACCTTGAGGAGATAAATGTCACCTTTAAAAATAACCATTCTCCTAATTATTTTCATTTCCAATACTTCCTATGAGAAAAACATGTGCTGTGTTATCTAACTATGAGTCTTGAGTACTGAGGATCTTCTTCACAAAGTCACAGTATATGACAGAGTGAATATTTTCAGCCTAAGAAATATGTAGAATGTCCTTTGCCAAACAGCAATAAAGAAAAGTGGAGAAAAAATTTATTCCCATTTATGTGCTTTACTTTCTAATTAACAGCCACAATAGCATCAAAGAAAAACTCTCTTTTTTAGGGGAAAAATATGATTCTGGAAAATTTGAAATTGTCTCTGGCAAAAGCATGATGAGAGGGACCAAATATAGGATGCCAAGTTTCTGGCCATTCTCATTTATTTTATATTACACCTAAGAAACCCAGTCTAATTCTCCATCCTTATGTATGAAGTTCTTTCCTTTATTTTATGGCACACATAACTAGTATATACAATTGTTTCCTCATAACACGTTATTTATACACTAGGCTATTGTCATCTTCTAGAAGTGGAAAAGTATAGGGCTCAAGTACATAGGCTCTGTATCCCAGCTCTCCCACTTAGTAAATTTAGATAAGTGGCTTCACCTCTCTATGCTTCACTTTTCTTTTTTGTAAAATGGAGCTTATAAAAATACGTATTTCAAAAATTTAAAGACAAAAGTTTTCACATTTTAACATTTCTGAAATCAGGATGTGTCTTAACAATTGCGATCAGGCTAACCTGTAGTTGGGTTTCGCCAAAGAGGATTTTATTGTGCTCCTGCCCAGAATTTTCTACCCTTCCTGAATCCAGTGCAAAGATTGAGCCATGCAAGTGCTCTTGCTTTACCCTTCTGGGTGATGGATTTATTTTCATTTACCCTTATCCTGAGGGTAGAGATAGCCCTTTGTTGTCCTGGATTTATAGAACGTTCTCCTATCTTAAATGATGTTTCTTTCTTTGTATTGTATTAAATAACAGTGCATCTTACAATTGAAAACTCTTAGATGTGAAGAACTCTCTCAGAGGGTAGATGTGAGGAGTAAATAAGATCATGCATGAAAGAGCCGATAGTAGTGCATGCCACATGACAAGCACTCAACAAGTGCTATCATTTCTGTCTTACTATCAATATCTAGTTGTCGCTAAACAGAGAAACATGTTAGTTACCATTTCTGTCTTACTATCAATATCTAGTTGTCACTAAACAGAGAAACATGTTAGTTACTTAATTCTCTTAACCTATGTACAAAATGCAAGACTCAAAATGAACTAATAATGCCATTTAAAATAGACCAACTAAAGCAGTGCCCCTGTGAAATCCAGGGTAGCCATCGCCTGTGGTTAGCGATGGCCTCCACAGGGCAAGACTCAAACTCAGTCTATTTGCCAGAAGTGACCTTGCCAAATGTTTCAAATCCCCTCTGCTGGTTAAGACTGGCTTTACAGAAAGTGTTTCCATTATTGTTAATGGAAGGAGGGATTTAATCTTGCAGAGTTCCTCCTTAACATGCTCAAAATGGACTCCCCGGAGTTCTACAGATGCTGCATCAGCAGGGCAGGCGGGCTGGCTGGCAAAGATGCAATTCTCCTGGTATCCCAAAGACTAACTCGAAGGTCATGCTACTTTGCTAATTCAGTAAAATGTAATTACACTGCAAAAAGCTGGTTCTTTTTTGTTCCTCTTATTGATGTACAAAGTTCTTAAATGCCAGGGTGCTCACATACATACATATTCAGCAGCAGTGCATCTGCATCTATTCAAAGAGCTCTAGATTTGGGCTTGAGAAGGAACAAGTCAATATGCACCATCTACAGCCAATGGCAATAATTGATCTTCCTTTTCTGGGTCCAAGCCCTTTTCCTCTGCCACTCAAGCATGCAGGAAGCAGACCAGTGATGGCAGATTATGTATTACTTTCAGAGCTGCTTCATTGTGCAACTCCAAGGGGTGCCATTCACATCACAGTCTCTGTGAACAGTGCCCCCTGGAGTTACGCAGGCACTATTTGTGAGGCCATAAATGGCAGCCCTGGTTACTAGTAATTGGAGCTAAGGCAGGATCACATGGATTCTCTATAAACTAAAACATACATTGAGGTTATTTGATAGTGCCCTGACTAATAAAATATCATACCTTAAAAACAAACAAATAAATAAGCAAATAAATAACTTGCAACTACAGTAACCATGGTTTTATAATTACTGTCTTTATCGAAGTGTATTATTTATCTATACAGCAAATAACCTAAAGGAGAACCTGTATAAGGCTTCCAGTGTTTAAAACAACCCAGCTTTTTTGTTTATAAGCATCAACCTGGTATGGGTGTAAGTGGTACAAAACACCAGAGGATTCATCCAGCCTCCAGATTATCCCTCTGAGTTGTCTCTCTTTTCAAAAGTCTCCACAGACGATCTCCACCTTCTATAGTTACTCATACTAATGTCACTCCTCTTAAGGTCACAATTTCTTCCTGTTTTATAATAAAATCCATTCTTTTACCACTAAAGTCACTTTCTGAAGGTAAATCTTTAAGGAAGATAAAGACAGTTCTTTTTGTTAGTATAAAGTAGTTCACACTTCCAAATTTTAAGTCCTTGTTAAAGAAATCTGATATTGTGCCATACTTCCTGCCCCAAATAAGTTTCCCAGACCACTGTTTGGCAATGTGTTCTCTAAAAATCCTAAATCAGAGGTGGCCTTTTCTGAGTAACAATAAACTAAGTGCTCAAATATAATGAAATTTTGTCCATCAATCATTTCTTTCTCCAGGTTATTTGATATTCTATGATTCTTTTTTCTTTTTAATTAAACAGCCTCTAATGCTCCCCCACAATCCTGGATTTGGGGTGAATGAAAAAGAAAATCTGTACTTCCTAGTTTACCTTCTCTAATGTTAAACTGCAGAGAGTGGAATGGGTACACTCCTTCCTTTTTGGCAGAACAAGTAGGCACCCATGCCAGAGTAGGAATAGCTCCCAGGGCCCAAGGATGTCACAGCACAAGCAGGGTGAAAGAGTGTTCCCATGAGGGGGCAGCCTGTGTGGAATATCAGAGCTCTAGCAGGGGGAGGAACAGCCCAAAACGTGGAGTCAGAGCCTGAGAAGTATGTAATATGCAGTGTCAGAGTCCTCGCAAGGGCAGGAGGGCATCCACAGGGGTGGCCTTTTACAGGGTATCAGGAGGGTATGAGTAGGATAATAAGGGTTTTCAGCTAATGGAGGAGGGAGGAAGTGGTATTGAGGTGTCAGAGCCTAACCAGGGTGAAGGTGAAGGAAATGGCAGTGGAGATGGGAAACTGGTCACATACAAAGGGTGATCAAATATGTAAATAAATAGATAAGGATGATGGGTTCCTGGTTTCTCATTATTGGAGAAGTGGGTTTCAAATATGGAAAAGAAGAAAACTAAAATGATCTTTGTAATGTTGAAGGAGAACTGGTAGTATCCATGTGAACCCATGTTTTTCAATATATATAGAGAAAAAAGAAATAAATATAATGTAAATATGCATTTGAATATGTGGGGGGGGTCAATGAGATGGTATCTGTGAATATATATTATATACAATACATATATACGCACACATAACACATATACATACACATACACATACACATTCCGTAAGGCTGGGAGGTATATGCCAACAGCAACAAGTATGCCTGTTGCCCATATCTGGGTCCCTGAGTACCATTCCTTACAAAAAATAAATAAAAATAAAAATAAACTGGAACCATTTGGAGACCTGTCTCAATATAGGGCTGCGGCAATGTACCTGACAAACATGTCTAAACTGTATCATGAGAAAATATCAAACAAACCGAGACTGAAGGACATTCTACAAAATAAATGGCCTGCAATCTTCAAAAATATCGAGGTCATGAAAGTCAAGGAAAGTCTGAGAAACTCTTCCAAACCGAGAGAGACTAAAGAGATATGACAACTAGATAAAACACATAATTCTGAACTGGATGATTCTCTATAAAGGATATTATTGAGGCAATTGACAAAACTTGAATGGAGTCAGAAGATTAAATACTGGTAATGTATTATCAATATTAATTTTCTCTATTTGATGCTTACACTATGTTTATGTAGGACAGTCTTTGTGGGAAACAATATACTAGACATTAACATTGTAACCATGTTAAGTTTCCTGAATTTGATCTTTGTACTGCAATTATAAAAGAGAATATCCTTATTCTAAGGAGATGCATACTGACATGTTTTGAGGTGAAGTATTATGATGTATACAGTTTAATCTCACATGTTTCAGAAAAAAATGCATACACATTCACATATATAATATGTGTGTGTGTGTGGAAAGAGAAAGGGAGAGTGAGAGCACAATTAACGAGCCCAGATGAAGAATATGTACAGATTCCTTTTGCTCCTTTGGAACTCTTTCAGGCTTGAAATTTTTTTTCAAAATAAAAATTTCAACAATAAAAGAGCAAAGCAAACTCAAAATCACCTCCATCATGCTTCCCAATCTTAGTGACATACCTGAATTCTCAGGGGTGCTTTTTATAAACTAAAGATTACTAACATATACCCCAGGTTTACAAATCAAAATCTTTGAGAATTCTGACTAGAAAATTTTCAGAGTTTCTCAGGCGTTTGAATGCATCTCCTCTACTGACCAGCATTTTGGAGCCACTAATCTGTCTCCCTCATTTTATGAATGAAGAAACTGAGACCCCAAGAGGTTATGGACCTTGATTAAGGCCACAGTGATAGGTAATGACAGAGAGATCAGAATCTAGGTCTCCTAACTCCCAGCCCAGGTTTCTTTGATCACAATTCATAAAGGGATGCCCTTCAGAAGGATTGCTTTTAAAAATGTATATATATTGCTCTTTATAGTTTTCGCAACTTAAAATGTTGTTGAGTTCGACCACAAAGCTTCCTAGAGAGCTCTGCAATGCGATTTTGACTATCCTCAGAGCACAGAGCTAAATTGGAGACCTCATCTTGGAAAATATATAAACTGGTTTTTAATCATCATCTTTTTCAAGTCAAAAAGTCAAGCCTTTTAACATTTGCTAGAGTTAATGGGTTTCATCCCTAAAGGAAATAAAAGCAGTTGGAAGAAAGAAGTGGGGCAAGCAAGTAAAGAGCCTATGTTGATGAAGATAATCTCTGATGAGACTCAACCAGCTTGACTGAAGCATTACTCTTCCCCTGTCTCTAGAATGCAGAAGCAATTATATCAAACAGAGAAACTATGCGTTTGCACTGGAATCTTATGGTGAAATATCTGTGGATTTCCTACCAAGCATCTCTTCTCAAGAGAAACAGGAAAAGGATAAATTATATCAGTTTATTCTTCTGATTCCCTCTGCTGAGCCAGTTCCTGCTTCAGTGAGAGAAACCTTATAATCAGATTTGTGCAAGTATTTCTGTCCAGGCTTGCTGAGCTTTGTCAGCACAAAATGTTCACAAACTGCTAACATACAGTAGTATTTTTTTTCAGTCGATTTGTACAGTATCATTTAATTTCACTTTTTTCCACCTATAGACCACATATTATATTCCCAGACAGAGAAAAGAAAAAGCTACTCACCTAGAAAACCCACTAACCTCCCATCACATAAGAATCTGGAGACCAGAGAATGCAGTTAACACGAGTGTGTTTAAAGAAACCAAGCCCCAGTTCCTGACAGTTGAATAAGTGTGGAATTCACAACAGCAGAATATTTCTACTAGCTCGAGTATACTTAAGCTAACACACTAAATAGGATTGTTAAGCGTTATCTTTGAGCCAGAAGTGAGTCCACCAGCTAATTCCACTACCTACTCGCTCTGCTACACCACAATCTTGGTTTTTACCAGAAACCATCATAAGTTGAGATATTTGTAGCAGAGGAATGGGGCAATGCCATGCCTGTAGTCAGTGATAACCTGTATTTCCAAGAAAGTACAGGTGGTCCTTGACCTACAGTGGTTTGACTTACAATGGTTTAACTTGGGATATTTTGACTTTATGATGGCACTTTCAGCTGTGTACATTAGTAGTCAGAACCTATAACCACTTTGTTTTACACTTCCAGTGCAGTAGTCAACAAGTCACATGAGATATTCAACATTTTATTAGGAAATGGGCTTTGTATTAGATGATTTGCCCATCTATAAACTAATGCAAGCACATTTAAGGTAGGCTAAGTTAAACTATGAAATTCGGTAGGTTAGGTGTATTAAATGCATTTTGACTTAACAGTATTTTCAACTTACGATGGGCTGATTGAGATGTAACCCCATGGTAAGTAGAGGAGCATCTATATTATAAATCCAGCCAAATATTCTCCTCATTGCTGAGGTCAGAAGTCTAGGACTTCTCTTCCCTCTTATGTAATAAGTCTTAATGTTTTGTAAGTGTGACTTTTCCTTTTCTCACAGATCTATCCTCTCTCTTCTGTTTCTACTGCTTGGGTCAGTCTCTCAACTATCTTTGATTTAGACACTTTGAATAGCATTCTAATGTGTTTCCATGTCATTGATCTTTCCATTTTCCATCCATTCTTTATGGTGCTCCTGAGTTAATTTCTTTAAAATATAGATTTGATTATCTATATACTTAATCAAAAGTCTTTTGCGGCTCCCTGTGACCTACAGAATAAAGCCCAGCTCTTTGCACAGCTTTCTACCCCTTTGCATAACACTTCTGGTAACATGAGGGACTGAAACAATATTAATATAAATGGGCTCACATCTCACAAGGAACATGGAAATGCTGATTAATAGATCCAAATATAGTGCTGGCGTGGCCGCCAGGAGGCGCAGCCAAGTCGCGGCTGCTCTTCCTGGTTCCCAGAGGCCCAGACTTGCACTTAGGAGCCAGCGCAAGCTCCGTGCGCATGCGCGCTCCCCGCTCACGCAGACAACGTGGCTCCAGTGGAGCAAGTTGTGGCGGATGCTGGGGCTTTCCTTCGGGATGCGGCTCTGCAGGACATCGGGAAGAACATTTACATCATCCGGGAGGTGGTCACTGAGTTTCGGGACAAGGCCACATGCAGGCGGCTCGCTGTCCTGCCCTATGAGCTGCGGTTCAAGGAGCCCTTACCAGAATACGTGCAGCTGGTGACTGAGTTTTCAAAGAAAACAGGAGACTACCCCAGCCTCTCTGCCACGGACATCCAAGTGCTTGCGCTCACATACCAGTTGGAAGCAGAGTTTGTTGGGGTGTCTCACCTAAAACAAGAACCACAGAAGGTTAAACTGAGCTCATCGATTCAGCACCCAGAAACACCTCTGCACATTTCTGGTTTCCATCTGCCCTCCAAGCCTAAACCCCCACAAGAAACAGAAAAAGGACACCCAGCTTGTGAGCCTGAGAACCTGGAATTTAGTTCCTTCATGTTCCGGAGAAACCCTCTGCCCAACATCGATCATGAACTGCAGGAGCCGCTGATTGACAGAGGTGAGGACGTTCCAAGAGAGGAGGAGGAGGAGGAAGAAAACGGGTTTGAAGACAGAAAAGATGACAGCGATGACGACGGGGGTGGCTGGATAACCCCCAGTAACATCAAGCAGATCCAGCAGGAGCTGGAGCAGTGCGACGTCCCCGAGGACGTGCGGGTTGGCTGCGTGACCACAGACTTCCCCAGGCAGAATGTTCTGCTGCAGATGGGGCTGCACGTGCTGGCGGTGAACTGCATGCTGATTCGTGAGGCCCAGAGCTACGTCTGGGCTGCCACGGCTGTTTCAAGACAACGTCTGACATGAGCCGAGTGTTCTGTTCACACTGTGGGAACAAGACCCTGAAGAAAGTGTCCGTGACCATCAGTGACGACGGCACCCTGCACATGCACTTCTCCCGCAACCCCAAGGTGCTGAACGCCCGCGGCCTCCGGTACTCGCTTCCCACTCCCAAAGGGGGCACATACGCCATCAACCCCCATCTCACCGAGGATCAGCGCTTCCCTCAACCGCGACTCTCCCGAAAGGCCAGGCAGAAAACCAACGTGTTCGCCCCTGACTACATCGCCGGGATGTCGCCCTTTGTCGAGAATGACATCTCCAGCCGCTCAGCTACCCTACAGGTCCGGGACAGCACCTTGGGAGCTGGGCGGAGACGCTTAAATCCCAACGCTTCCAGAAAGAAGTTTGTGAAGAAAAGGTGAAGAGCGAGTTCCCGCAGGCAAATTGGATGGGCGTCTGGCCGCCGTGGAGTTCCGGTGACCCATTACCCCAGCCATGTCGTCTCCAGGACCACCCGATGGAAATTAACAGGCGGGCTTCACGGTGCGGTTCTGCCCGCCCATGCCCTGCCGGGTCTGCACGGAACTGGACTGTCCCATGGCCTGTGAGCATCGGAGCGCCTGGCTGCCTGCCAAGGAAGGGGAATTGGATAAAAACAGGAAGAACAATGCCCTGGAGCCAATCTTTAAGAAAGGAGTTTCCAAAGGATAATATTTTTCTAATAAATGCGGCTGCAAGCTCCTGTGCATTTTATTAAATAGGCCAAATTTTTGCTGCTTAGGTCATCTCAAGGCTGACACTTGAGCTGTGTGCCCAGTTCAGATTTATCTTTTTGCTAGAAAATACAAGGTTATAATAAAACTAAAAAAAAAAAAAAAAAAAAAAAAAGATCCAAATATATATCTCACCTCAAAAGAAAGAACAATAAGAGCTGGGTTGGGGAAACAATAAGGAATGATAAAGCCTGTATAGTAAGCAGAAGATGCTGCCCAGCCATATAAAAGGGTTTCAGCCCCAGATAAGGGCTGTAGAGTGTAAGGGCTGAGCTTCTACCCACCACATGTGGAGAAAATATGTAGCTTTGGCCCATGTGAAAGGAAAATGGACCTAAAACACTGAATAAGTTCAACAGCCTCTAAGGTCTGGTCTATCTGTGGAAATGAGACTACAAAAATTCTAACCATTAGCCCAGAGGAAGCTGTAAGGAAGGCTGCCATTTGATCAGGCCAGTGGGAGAGGGAAGGTTCCAATGAGAAATCAAAACCTCAGGCCCATCCAGAATGGGTTTCGTTCTAAATTTGCATTGCCTGTGTTGTAAAGAAACCCCAAAATAAACATTGACCTAGGCTGTGAAATCCCCAGAGCCCAGTCAGAAGCAAACAGGAAGCTATTCAGTGAGAACATGTCTACAATTCAATGCTCATGGACATTTTCCAAAAAAAAAACCACAGAAGATTATTTTTCCAATAAAATATTACAAACCCTAGGAAAAAGCAATCCACCATGAGCCAGGGAAGATGCAACAATTGAGAAAGTAGTTCACCAAAAACTGGAGGTAGTAGAACACTTTGATAAAAGGAAAGAATATAGAGTTCGATTGGCTGTCATCGGACTAGTCTTGGAAACCAAAAACTACCAAAACAAAGGCAACTATTCTTTGAAAAGTTGTCTCTTTTAGGGGCCATGTGCTACCTTGATGTGGCTTCCTAGTGTACATTTCAATTCTCTGCTCCCTTCAGATTTCCTTTATCTACTTAAAAATAATAACTCTTTGCTCTTTACTTCCATTTGAATGTATTCTTCCATATGCCATATGGAAGCCAGTATAGCTTAGTGTTGTAACATTAGATTCCGTAATTAAAATTTCTGAATTTACCTTGATGCTGCCACTTACTGGCTGTGTGATCTTCAACTTCACCTCCTTTTTTTTTTTTTTGAGAGAAGTCTCACTCTTGTCCCCCAGGTGCTTGAGTGCAATGGCTCGATCTCAGTTCACTGCAACCTCTGCCTCCCAGGTTCAAACGATTCTCCTGCCTCTGCCTCCCAAGTAGCTGGGATTAAGGTGCCTACCATCATGCCTGGCTAATTTTTTGTATTTTTAGTAGAGACGGGGTCTCACCATGTTAGTCAGGCTGGTCTCGAACTCCTGACCTTGTGATCCGCCTGCCTCGGCCTCCCAAAGTGCTGGGATTACAGGGGTGAGCCACCACGCCCAGCCAACTTCACCTCTTTTTCAAGTTCCTCGCTTGTAAAATAAAGATAATGGTTTGTATCTAGCAGGATTGATGAAGAGATCTGATGACATAGCACTGTAAAGCCCTCTGCCTAGGACCTGGCACAGAAAAGTAATAAATAAATGTTATTCATTATTATTCTTACTAATTACCTTGCACACATTATCATATATCCCTGCAACAATTTTGTAAAAAAAAATTACCTCTATGTTACATATTGGGAAACAGTTCATGGAGGTTAAGTATTATACCTGAGATAATGTTGCTAGTAAGTAGTAGAGCTTGAGCATGAACCCAGATCTCTTTGACTCTGAGACCTACGTGGTCAACCTCTACACGATACTGTACTGATAAAACTACTCATGAGCCCAAAATGATCACCCTCAACCTTCTCTGCTAACTCCAGGATTCACCACTGATAGGCAACAATTTCTCTATGTCTTAATGTAAATTCATTTATTTACTGAACTTATCATGCTTCTAATATGAGTCTAAGCACTGCATAAGGCATGGGGGTCTACAGTAGGGAGTAATGCTGCTGCAATCTAGTGAGATGATCAGACAGTACCTACCCTAAGTAAAAGTGTGTGTGTGTGTGTGTGTGTGTGTTTAAAATTGTAAAGAGTACTGTGAAAAATATCACAGGGCACAGTAACAGGGTGACAAGTGAAATCTCCTTTAACAAGAGTGTCACAGAAAGGCATCTGCCAGAAGATAAAATTTAGGCTGAGACTTTTAAAGTGTTTAAAGGAGCCAATATGTGAGGAACAAAAGGCAGAGTAATCATGTGCAGAGGCCATAATGTGGAATTGCCGAGGCATATTGGAGGAATGCAGCAGTGCTGGAGCCGCTGAGGACAGGGGATCTGAGGAGAGAGAGCAAGCAAGGGAGAAGAGTGATGAGGAAAAAAGGAGCCGAGTGGTCATGGAGGTCCATGTTGTGGAGTTCAGATTATACATTAAGTGCAATGAGAAACCACTGAAATTTTTTAAGTAGAGGAATGACATGATCTGATAGTATTTTTTAAAAAATTACTCCAACTGGATAATGGGCTTAACAGATAACACACTACAAATGAAGAAACCAAGTAGGAAGCAATGGCAATGCATCAGTAGTGACAGGAGAGTAACAAAGCGAAATGAATAGAGGCAAGATATATTTTTGAGAGAAAATGAAGAACAGTGCTGATGGATTGAAGAGATTCTGACATAACAGGCTCTCACCCATTCAAGATTAGGCCTAATACATCTTGAGTCGCTGCTTAGTCAATGATTGGCTTCCTCTGAGCTCTGTGTCTATTCCCAACCAACCAGCTATGATCAGGGACCAGAGGCAGCATGAGGGGTAATCCTTGGAGAGGCTGTGGATGAAGCAGGCTCTATGAAAAAATGTCACATTTCTTCTATTCAATCTCATCTCCCATACTAGAGAGTGAGCTCTTCATGACATGAATTTTTATCTTGTCAAATTTGTACCCCCACATCAATTAACAATGTTTTTTACATAGTATGTGCTCGATAAATATATTTCCAAATAAACTAAATTACTCAAGACTAAATCAATGTCACATGAAATTGAAAATCTGTCTCTTTTTTTCTCCCTATCTCTTTTTGTATGTTTCCTTTCTGTCTCCATGTTCCTTTCTCTTCCATGTAACTAGTATTTTTTTTTACTTGCTGTCAGACTTTACCATTCAGAAATGACCAAAACAAAAGGAAAAAAATGGTACAAAGAGAAAATCAGCAGTTCTGTTCAATAATAGCCAATTGTTTCCCTGACAGCATCCAGACAAATAGTCTAAATCACAAATGCATTTGTGACCCTCATTTTGGAAAGGCTGCTCTAATCTTAGGGATGGAATTGAACTTCAGAAATGGGTATCAAGGTCCTTGGGGGCCCCTCAATTTGCTGTTCCAACACCCCAATGGCTGAACTGCTACCATCCTTTTTCATTCGCTTAATAAAAATAACAAGAAAAACCATAATAGCCAAATTTTTCTCTCAAATGCCAAGGTAGCGAGCAATCATTCCCAAATTCCAAGGCAGTAAAAAGACTACTTTGAACAATGCTTTATTTTTACCTCATTTATTTCTCAATTTTTATCCCTAGATTAGATATATACCTATGAAAGAGGAGACAATAGCTCGAACAGCAGAATAGTTTAAAGTTGTGAAGCAGATTAAGCAAAGAATTATGTATAATCACCATAGAATCGCTAAGCTAATCATACTTCTCTCATGCCTTTGTGTAAGACAGTCAAAAGGCAGCCTAGATTTAAAATGAAAAAAATCACAGCATGACTGGACATGGGTTCCAGGAGCTCCTTTTTAGGAAACAGTAGATCATAAAGTAGTCCTCATTGGATAACACAAAATTTGGGTAAAAAACCAACCACAATGCTATGGAAACTCGAAGATATTATCTACTGATTTTACACTATGACTGCTTTCAGATTTTCACTGGACAACATTTTCAAAAATGCACAAATTTCTTAGCTCTTACACATGTGTAAGCACTAATACATATGTAAATACAGAAGATAGATGTTTTCTAAAGATGCTAAAAATTTATTTTTTAGATTATCTCATGGTAATATTTTACAGAACTAAATTTGAAGGACATATATGATTAAAAAACTAAATTGTTCAGCTACAAATGCTTACATGTGTATTATCTGGATGATAGCAAAGTCTTTTAATGGGCATGGATTTTGGTTAGTGAAAGTTTCAATAAGTCATATATGCACATCTTTCAATGAAAAAGATTCTCATGGACTCACAATATGGACTTAAATTTATTTTATTTCAATGTTACTTTAATATGTGCACTGAAAATTAAATAATAAAGTATAAACATATGTTTACTATTCTTTATAAAATCACGTTAATTTCTTTTTGTTGTTGTTGTTGTTGTTGAGATGTAGTCTTGCTCTGTCACCAGGCTGGAGTGCAGTGGCATGATCTCGGCTCACTGCAACCTCCGCCTCCCAGGTTCAAGCGATTCTCCTGCCTCAGGCTTCCAAGTAGCTGGGACTACAGGCACACACCCAGCTAATTTTTGTATTTTTAGTAGAGAAGGGGTTTCACCATGTTGGCCAGGATGGTCTTGATCTCCTGACCTCATGATCCGCCCACCTCGGCCTCCTAAAGTGCTGGTATTACAGGTGTGAGCCACCGTGCCCAGCCGATCACGTTCATTTCAAATGACAAATGATGATTTGTTGAAACTAAATAGCACTTTTTAGGTTTAATGAAAAAGATATATTTCAGATCTAGTTTCCTATTTGTTTTATCCACAAATTAGCTTTAATGACAATAATGCAAAGGATGACTTTTACATAAATGTGTTTTTCAGAAAAGCTAATACACTAAAATCTTTGTGCTCTATTTCAGGATAATCAGATCTCACATTTATCCAAATCAGCAAATAAGAAAATAAAGTTTCTCTTGATAATTCTCTACAACTATCTTGTTTCCTTGAATATATTATTACACTTGTGGCATTATTAAAACCTTAATTAAAATTGGTATCTGATCAATTATAAAAGGAACTTGGAAAAGAAAATGTCTTATATATATTTATACATTATATATTATATAAAATTAAGTATATATATATATATATATATATATATATACTTAATTGCTAATCAATTGTTGCAGAATGGTGTGAACAAAGGTGGGATCCTCACAATACATTCACACCAAATCATAATATATCATTAAGTTCTATGGCCCAGATGCTTTTGAATTTTGCATACCTGTGTTGAAGCATTCCATATTATAATCATTAGTTCACTGTTTTTCTGTATTTGAACAACTGTGGAAAACCTCCATGTGTGTAGTGTGCTAACACAGTATTTAGCCTTCACATGTTACGAAAAAAGTCATAAATATACACAGGAGCACCAAAACTATATGAAATTTAGTTCAACCAGAATATACCAATTTGCAGATCGTAATCCAAATGAAACATTAAATTTAAAATATCTTCTGTATACTTCAAATCCCCAAGAACACACACACATGCATACACACACACATACCACACACACGCACCACACACACACACCACACACACGCAGCAGTGTGAAAAATACTAGTTTTTTACAGGAATGCTGGTAACATTTTTTACCCCTTAACACATAGGCAAGACACTTGAAGAAGTATCCCAGGGTTATGCTCAGTTCTGGATGGTTATTTATAACTCCACTCATTTCTCTCCCACTCAAAAAAAAGCATATTGGAATTCAAGTCACATGAATTCATAGAGATAACCCAAAATATGATCTAATTTACTTGTAAAGCATTTTGCTAAATTAAAAATTTAAACAATAATTAATAAATTATTTGTAGTACATTTTAGAATACTAGGAATATCATTGATTTTACTACAGTTACAGTTAAAAATAAAATAAAATTTAGGGGAGAAACAAAGGGGAGGGCGTAACTCACTACTAGTTTAGACATAAATTTTATTTCATTCATCATTTAAATATCAAAATAATATTTTAAATGAAAAATAAAATATTCATTTCATTGTTTCAATTCTCCATGCCCTTGAAAAACACAAGCTATTTGGTTTAGTTCACAGTTCTCTTTAGTATCAATTTCTAATACCTTTTTAACCCTAGGCAAAAATCAGTCTGCATGCAAACATACCACTGAGTTCTAAAGGGGCTGAATAATGTTAAATTCACAAGTCAGATATCACATGATACATATCCAAGCAAATAATTATTTCTCTTAATTAACAAAAATACTTCCTTATGAAATTCAAAGAAACAGTTTTTTTTTTATTTTTAGGTTTTTTACTGGCCAATTTACACCCTTAAGAATCATTCTTACAGCTAGATGGCATTTAGAGGCAGTCTCCATAAGAATCAAGAGCATAGAGGTTGGATTTGGAGAGACATGAGTTTAAATCCTGACTCAGCTTACTAGCTATATGACCTTGGACTAATTACTGACTTCTCTATGCATGTTTACTCTTCCATAAAATGAGCATCATGATACGTAATCACACTAAGGAAGGGTTCTTAAATCAAATAAAATTTGTGACATTGCAATCTGTAACAGTAACAATTGAGGGCCAATAATTATTAGCACATTAAGATTTAGTGTTAGCTATTTTAAAACTCCCTCCTTTCTAAGATCAGAACCAGTACAATTATTCACACTTTATGAATGAGACTGCAGTCATGCATCATTTAGTGGTGGCAATATGTTCTGGGAAATGCACTGTTAGTTGATTTAATCATCATGCTAATATCAGATTATACTCACACAAACCTACGCGGTGTAGCTTACTATACACCTAGGCTATGTGGTGTAGCTTATTACTCCTAGACTATGAACCTGTACAGCATGTTTCTGCACTGAATACTATGTGCAACTGTAAAACAATGTTAAGTGTTTGTGTATCTAAACATATCTAAACATAGAAAAGGTAAGGTATAAAAGGTTAAAAAAAGGTACACCTGTGTAGGGCACTTATGAATGGAGCTTGCAGGGCTGGAATTTGCTGGGTGAGTCAATGAGCGAGTGAATGTGAAGGCCTAGGACATTACTGTACACTACTATAGACTTTATAAATACCGTACACTTAAGCTACACTAAATTTATTTTAAAACATATTTTCTTCCTTCAACGATAAATTAACTTTAGCTTACCATAACAGTTTTACTTTATACACTTTTTAAATTTTTTAAAAATTTTTTATTCTTATGTAGTAACACTTAGCTTAAAACACAAACACATTATACAGCTGTACAAAAATATTTTCTTTCTTCATATCCTTCTTCTATAAGCCTTTTTCTATTTCTCAAATATTTAATTCTTTTATGTTACTTTTTAAACTTTTTAGTTAAAAACTAAGACAAACCTGAAAAACCAAGAAATGGGGAAAGGATTCCCTATTTAATAAATGGTGCTGGGAAAACTGGCTAGCCATATGTAGAAAGCTGAAACTAGATCCCTTCCTTACACCTTATACAAAAATTAATTCAAGATGGATTAAAGACTTAGATGTTAGACCTGAAACCATAAAAACCCTAGAAGAAAACCTAGGCAATACCATTCAGGACATAGGCATGGGCAAAGACTTCATGTCTAAAACACCAAAAGCAATGGCAACAAAAGCCAAAATTGACAAATGGCATCTAATTACACTAAAGAGCTTCTGCACAGCAAAAGAAACTACCATCAGAGTGAACAGGCAGCCTACAGAATGGGAGAAAATTTTTGCAATCTACTCATTTGACAAAAGGCTATTGTCCAGAATCTACAATGAACTCAAACAAATTTACAAGAAAAAAACAACCCCATCAAAAAGTGGGCGAAGGATATGAACAGACACTTCTCAAAAGAAGACATTTATGCAGCCAAAAGACACATGAAAAAATGCTCATCATCACTGGCCATCAGAGAAATGCAAATCAAAACCACAATGAGATACCATCTCACACCAGTTAGAATGGCGATCGTTAAAAAGTCAGGAAACAACAGGTGCTGGAGAGGATGTGGAGAAATAGGAACACTTTTACACTGTTGGTGGGACTGTAAACTAGTTCAACCATTGTGGAAGACAGTGTGGCGATTCCTCAGGGATCTAGAACTAGAAATATCATTTGACCCAGCAATCCCATTACTGGGTATATACCCAAAGGATTATAAATCATGCTGCTATAAAGACACATGCACATGTATATTTATTGCGGCACTATTCACAATAGCAAAGACTTGGAACCAACCCAAATGTCCAACAATGATAGACTGGATTAAGAAAATGTGGCACATATACACCATGGAATACTATGCAGCCATAAAAAATGATGAGTTCATGTCCTTTGTAGGGACATGGATGAAACTGGAAACCATCATTCTCAGCAAACTATCACAAGGACAAAAAACCAAACACTGCATGTTCTCACTCATAGGTGGGAATTGAACAATGAGAACACATGGACACAGGAAGGGGAACATCACACTCTGGGGACTGTTGTGGAGTGGGGGGAAGGGGGAGGGATAGCATTAGGAGATATACCTAATGCTAAATGACGAGTTAATGGGTGCAGCACACCAACATGACACATGTATACATATGTAACAAACCTGCACATTGTGCACATGTACCCTAAAACTTAAAGTATAATAATAATAAAATTTTAAAAAAAATGATGAGTTCATGTCCTTTGTAGGGACATGGATGAAGCTGGAAACCATCATTCTCAGCAAACTATTGCAAGGACAGAAAACCAAACACCACATGTTCTCACTCATAGGTGGGAATTGAACAATGAGAACACAGGGACACAGGAAGGGGAGCATCACACTCCGGGGACTGTTGTGGGGTGGGGGGAGGGAGGAGGGATAGCATTAGGAGATATACCTAATGTTAAATGATGAGTTAATGGGTGCAGCACACCGACATGACACATGTATACATATGTAACTAACCTGCACATTGTGCACATGTACCCTAAAACTTAAAGTATAATAAAAAAAAAAATTAAAAAAATAAAAACCTGTACAAAATGTTAAAGGTCTTGCCTAGGAAATCCATAATCTTCTTGACATAGCAATGGATAGAGAAAAAAGCACAGGAAGTTCAGCATCATCTACTTCTGTCGTGAGAGGAGAGATTTCTGTGAAAAATAGTGAAATCATGGTCTCATCACTCCTGTATCCAGCATTGATTTATTTTATACAACATGAATCTTTGTAAGTATTAGAACAACTTGTATAATGCTAATATATATTATAAATGTAGAATAAAATTATTAGCAATTAGACTACCAAGATAATCTGTTGATTAAAATTAACAAAGGGTATCTCTAAGTTCTTGTAAATGGTCTATAATAGTAGTGATTTATTATCTTGATTAACATAAAAATCCACTGCCCTGTTCTTTTTAAACAAACAAAGAATAAACATTTATCTAGTGTTCTTTCAAAAAAAAAAAAAAAAAAAAAAACTAAGACACATTAACTTAGACCTACACAGGGTAAAGATCGTCAATATCACTGTCTTCCACCACTACATCTTGTCCCACTGAAAGGTCTTCAGGGGAAATAACATGCATGGAGCTGTCATCTCCTATGACAACAATGCTGTCTCCTGGAATACCTCCTAAAGGACCTCCCTAAGGCTGTTTTACAGTTGACCTTTTTTTATAAGTAGAAGTAGTAAGCTCTAAGTAACAATTAATGGTATAGTAACGGTATAAACCAGTAACATATGTTAACATCTGTGATGGGAGGAGGCTGCCTCAAAGGTCTCTGACGTATGTTAACATATCTTACTGACTATGTTACTGGTTTATACTATACTTTGTTATTTTAGAGTATATTATCAAGTATGTACTGTATATAATTGTATGCAATATACTTTCCTATACCTGGCAACACAAGTTTGTTTACACCAGCATCACCACAAACACATGAGTCATGCCACGATATTACAATGGCTATGATGTCACTAGGCAATACAAATTTTCACCCCCATTGTAATCTTATGGGACCAGCCTTATTTATGCAGTCTATCATTGACAGAAATAACTTTATGCAGTACATAACTGTATTGAAGTTCAGGAGATCAAATCACTTGTCCTAGAATCACACAAATAGAAAGTGGTGAAATCAATAGAATTCTAAGTCTGTCTGACTATAAAATACATGCTCTTTCCTTCCTACCTTAATGCTTCCAGCCAGACAGTCCACCCAAGAATGAGTCTTGGTGGTTTCTGCAAGGTGGTGATAGTCAGTAACCCAAAGATGCACCTCTGCCACCAGGATACCCAAGTTCTCATCCTCCTTCTGCCAAGCACTAGCTGAGTACCCTAGGGAGAGTTATGTTATGTCACTGTGCCTCTGTTTCCTCACCCATCAACCAAAGATTATATGTCATCTATCTCAGAGGGTTGTTGAGGGGATTGAATAAGGTATGCCATACAAAAAGCTTAAAACAGTGCCTGGCATTACAATTTTTACTATCCTGATTGTCTTCTAGGGCCAATAGGATAATGAACTGTAGTATTCTGAAAAAGTTACTAAATAGATTTCCCTGTGATGTAGAAAACAGGTTGCAGAGAGAACTGCCTTTCTTTTTTATTTTATTTTATTATTTTTTTTATTTTATTATTATTATACTTTAAGTTTTAGGGTACATGTGCACAATGTGAGGTTAGTTACATATGTATACATGTGCCATGCTGGTGTGCTGCACCCATTAACTCGTCATTTAGCATTAGTTATATTTCCAAAAGCTATCCCTCCCCCCTCCCCCCACCCCACAACAGTCCCCCAGAGTGTGATGTTCCCCTTCCTGTGTCCATGTGTTCTCATTAGAACTGCCTTTCTTAAAAGTCTCCTGCAGCACTCAGTGACATCTCAGACTTCCTCTTGTGACACAGTTATCAACAGCATAAGGGGGATCATTTTTCTAGCAATTGTGCATGCTTGAGCCAACTGGAATTGAGAATTTGTTCCAAGTTTCCAGCAGGTTCAAGGACATCTATTCTCTATAGCGAAAGCCAGTCCTTCTTCTTTTTCAAGAAAGCCACATTCAGAATCAGGAGAGACACACACAGGAAAATGGAGGGGACACTCAGCTATTGAGCTGCATCAACATTTATGGGTAACAATTGCCAAGCATGCCTGAGTCACCCCTAAAGCTAGCTAGAATTGTCAGCCAAAGCCTCCCTTCAGGGTATCCCAGAAAGTCCGTAGGAAACATCAACACAGTTTCTCTTTGTGAAAACCTCCAAATGTATCATTAAAGTTCCAGAGGGAATATTCAAACTTATGGTATTTAATTTCTTAAAAGAGTTTAGATGGGAAGCGCCTGAGTACTGAGGATGAAGGGCTATATTTATAATTACATAAGTTGTGGAAAATTGCTGTCATTCAGAGACTGGCCAGGAGTGTGGATGAAAAACTAGGATGTGTTTTATCCTACCCAGAGGCTACTTTAATTCTTTCAGCCTCATAGCTTTATAAATTCTCAAATTAGGGAGTCTTAAAACAGAAGCTTCTATTTTGGCAAAGATTCATTAATATTCATTTATGTCCAGTTTCTCATACCTGGGGTAGTTATACATGATGTTTTTAATGTCTTAATTCTGGCTTGTAAAAAATATTTTAAAAGACACATTCCTTATACTTGTATCATGTATAATATAATTACAGTCTACAGGGTTCTTTGTTTTTTGGACATCAGGTACAGAATGTTCTCTTAATCATACCATTCAGTTCACAGCTAATTATTATCACTGGTCTATACAAGGCACTATCTTGTTTTATTTGACTCTGGGTTTTATTTTCTTTTTGTCTTGTTTTTAGACAGGACTCACTCTGTCCCCCAGGTTGCAATGCAGTGGCACGATCATGGCTTACTGCATCCTTGACCTCCTGGGTTCAAGTGATCCTCCCAGGTAACAGGGAATACAGGTATGCGCCACTGTGCCCTGCTAATTTTTTTGTATTTTTTGTAGAGACAGGGTTTGCTGTGTTACACAGGCTGGTCTTGAACTCTAGGGCTCAAACGATCTGCCCACCTCAGCCTTCCAAAGTGAGCCACTGCACCCAGCAGTGAAATCACTTTCTTTTAATTCTATAACCCACTCACAGTTTTCTCTTTCCTCTTAGACAACTATTGTAATGTGTTTGATGTCTTTCTGTTTTCATGAATTCTTGCAACATGTATATTACTCATTTTTGCATGTATTATCTTATAAAATAGTATATATTTTAGTCTGGTTATTTCATTTTTGAATAAGCGATAGGTTTTTAAGATAACCTACTTAAAGAACATCTAATTATTTGATTCTAACTACTGCATAGAACTTACTCTGTGTATATTTCCACCATGTTTTCCCTATTCCCTCTTCTCATGAAGGACCCTCTCTGTTACTGCAATGAGTACCTTCATACATGTATACTTAGAGGTTAGATGACAGACTGTCCAATCCAGAATACTTCTGAGAGAGATTAGTGGTACTATTACTTAACCTGCCAAGGTAAACTAGTTCATACAGCTTATGTGACATCCTTTGGGATCTACACCAAAGCAAGCATAGTATTCACATGTTTTAATCCAACTACTACCAGATTACCCACCAGAATACAGTACTAGGCTACACTCCAATCAGCACAGACACAGTCTCTATATTGTTTTCATTATAATATTTGCCTATAGTTATGTTCTTAGGATTTTTAATTTATAAAAGGCTCTCAAGTCAATATCAAGAAAAACTAACCCAAATACCTAAACAATTTTAAAGTCATTAAAAACATTGATCGGTCTAAGATAGAGTCAGGGGCCAAATGTAATCTCAGAGCCATATGTTCACTTATGTGTACAACTGATTAAAGATGTATTGGTAAAAATCTTATATCTCAACATTTCCAAATATTTTCTTCATGAAGATACACTCAGTGACACTCACATTTGGGACTACTAAGATTATTTGCCTGTGATACGTAATCTGTGCATAGAAGCTGTGAAATCACCTCTTTACCTCCCACTGACCCTTACCAATAGTGTATTAGAACACTAGCTTTGAGAACCAATGTTACGTATTTCAGTACGTAAATACACTATGCGTGTCATCCTATGTAAGGAAATCTTCCAAATTACTAAAGCTTATTCCTTTAAGTGTCCAAATTTTATTTTAATTCTAATTATATTTCCACAAAAGCATAGCCAGGTATAGAAACAAGTGCTTTAAGATATTTTTCCTTTACCAACCACCCTATCCCAAACTTCTATTTTTTATGGCTCCCTGGATAAAGATTTTGTTTTCTAAAGTTTGTTGTCTGAAATCTATGACATATAGGACTTTTTATATACAACAAATACCTATATTATGGGTTACTACGGAGTCTGCAATCACTGGAAATATATACCTTGTTCATTCAAGGTACTACAGACTATGGATGTGAGAAAAAAAAAAGGCAGAGATCCAGCAATACAAATACTAAGGTATTCCTCTTCCCCCAAAATATTTTGGCATATGATAGATCATGATGATGACAGAAAGTATAATAGGAGTATGAACGCTTAGTAAATATCTTTTTCTTTGAGACAAAACTGGAGCATGAGAGATTATGTTTGCTCCACATGCCATCTATCATGAGGTCGATAAACTCTCTTAAGAGTCTATGAGCCAGACTAGCCTATGTCTTCTCTATGCTACTCAGAACCTTAAAGGGCTATAACAACTATGTCAACAAGATGGTCCAGGTATGAAAAAATAAGTATAATCAGAATATTTGGCAATAGCAGAAAAGACAAAAAATTTGCTCCTGATTGGTGACCCTAAAAAAAAATTAACTCGTTTTTATATTGCCAAGTAATGAGTACCACAAACATCTTCAATACATGCTTGTCCCCCTCACCTCAGTTACATACGATTAACCTCCAGTTCATTTTTCATAGTTTGTTTTCCTTTTGGCTAGCCTAAATCATGATGCTGCTTTTGAATAGAAGAAACTTGAGTGGGTGTGAATGTAGTCAATACTAGGTCTTTTTGGGGAACAATCTGGCTTCACCCTCACCTTCCTTCCCTAGAAAACCAAAACAAATATCTAGCATAACAATTATTACCAGCAGTATCCCAGACCTCAAAGCTGAGGCTGAGAAAATTTCTAGGGCCACAGAAAAGTAAAAAACTCCAAGCAGGTGGTAACACAATTGGACTTCTGTATCTGCAACACCCCTGTCTCCAATCTGCCAGGCACTATACGTGGAAAAATACCCCTGGATTCAACAGTTTCTACACATGGCAAAGTGAGATCAAGGTGGGCAGCCAGTTTCCTCACCATCTTGAGTTCCCTTGCAGGGAAACCTTTTCTACCTCAACCCACAGAAACATTGTGAGTGCCTATAGAAAGAAAAACCCCTGAAGGCAGCTAAAGACAAAGTGGGGAGACAGGACTAGCAACCCTAGCCTGTTAAATTCTACTCTTTATCTCAGCTAAAGACCATGCCAAATCAGAGTGGTTATTCAGCAGCACCATGCTGTAGGCGGTAGGCTCCACAGGTCTTCTAAGCATGAACCCTGACTCAGATTTTCAACATTGTTGGGGTGTCTCCTTTAAGACCTCCTCCCCAATTTGAGACAAACAGTGCTCCAAATCTTTGCAAGAGCTGAACGAAGCTGGGTTTATGGCACCATCTAGTGATGAAAAGGAGGCAGTTATCTAAGTAAACGTACCTTAGGAAGACCAAAGAAGCCAGAGAGTAAAGCATGGAATAAATAACCAATCCTTCAGTGCAAAGCCATAGACATACATCCACAAGAAACAATAGTAAACAGGGAACCATAACATCCCCAAGTGGAAAAAATAAGGAGTCAGTGATCAACTCTAATGAAATGGTGATACGTGAGCCCTCAACTCAAGAATTCAAAATAGAAGGTCTAAGATCACTCTAAGATAACACTGAAAAATCATTTCAGAGATTTATAAGAAAAATTTAACAAATAGATTAAAATAATTTTTTTAAAATCAAACAGAAATCCTGGAACTAAAAAATATATTTGCTGAACTGAAAAATGAATTAGAGGCTCTCAATAGCAGACTAGATGAAACAGAAGAAAGAATCAGTGAGCACAAAGAGAGCCTTCAAGAGAGTTTGAATTTCTCCTCAGAAAATGAGATTTTCTTTTCTGTGGCATTGTCAGGCTGCAAATTTTCCAAACTTTTATGCTGTGTTTCCCTTTTAAAGCTGAATGCCTTTAACAGCACCCAAGTCACTTCTTGAATGCTTTGCTGCTTAGAAATTTCTTCTGCCAGATACCCTAAATCACCTCTCTCAAGTTCAAAGCTTCACAAATCTCTAGGGCAGGAGTAAAATGCCACCAGTATCTTTGCTAAAATGTAACAAGAGTCACCTTTGCCCCAGTTCCCAACAAATTCCTCATCTCCATCTGAGACTACTTCACCCTGGATTTCATTGTCCATATCATTATCAGCATTTTGGTCAAAGCTATTCAACAAATCTCTGTGGAGTTCCAAACATTTTTCCCATGTTCCTGTCTTCTTCTGAGCTGTTCCAACCTCTGTCTGTTACCCAGTTCCAAAGTCACCTCCACATTTTCGGGTATCTTTTCAGCAGTGTCCACTCTACTGGTACCAATTCACTATATTAGTCTGTTCTCACACTGCTGATAGAGACATACCTGTGACTGAGCCATTTACAAAAGAAAGAGGTTTAATGGACTCACAGTTCCACATAGCTGGGGAGGCCTCACAATCATGGTGGCCACATGGTGGCAGACAAGAGAAGAGAGCTTGTGCATGGAAACTCCCCTTTACAAAACCATTAGATCTCGTGCGACTTATTCACTATCATGAGACCAGCACAGGAAAGACTAGCCACCATTATTCAATTACCTCCCACTGGGTCCCTCCCACAACATGTGGGAATTATAGGAGCTACAATTCAAGATGAGATTTGGGTGGGGACACAGCCAAACCATATCAGGAAGGTCATAGATTACCATACAGATTCAGTAAAAATAAGACCACCCCAAGGTATATAATAATCAAACTCTCAAAGGTCAAAGACAAAGAGAATACTAAAAGCAGCAAGAGAAAAGAAGCAAATAACATAAAAAGGAGCTCTGATTTATCTGGCAACAGACTTCTTATGTAGACTTGGAAAAAGTAGAATGGCATATTCAAACTGCTGAAGAAAAAAAAACTGCCAACAGAAAATACCATACCCAGAAAAAAAAGCTTTTCTTCAAAATGAAGACAAGAGAAACTCTTTCTCAAACTAAATTTGAGAGAATTCCTCACCAGCAGATTCATCTTACAAGAAATGCTAAAGAGAATTCTTCAACCTGAAAAAAAAAAGAATGCTAATGTGCAAAAAGAAAACATTTGAAAATGTAGAGTTTGCTGGTAAAAGTCAGTATACAGTCAAATTTAGAATAATCTAATACAGTAATTGTTGTGTGTAATCCACTCACATCTCTAGTATGAAAACTAAAAGACAAATCTACCAAAAATAATAAAAACTACACCAATTTGTTAAGAGATAGCCAATATAAACAGATAATTGAGACAACAAAAAGTCAAAATGTGAAGAGAAAGGAATTAAATTACAGAGTTTTTTTAGTTTTTCCTTCATTTGTTCATCTTATTTTTTTGTGTGTATGGTCCAAGTTATCATCTGTTTAAAATAACTTGTTATATCTATAAAATGTTTTTAAGTCTTATGATAACCACAAAGCAAAAACCTATAATAAATAAACTAAAAATTTCAATAGATGGTGAAAAAGCAGTTGACAAAATTCAACTCCTGTTTATGGAAAAAAAAACTCTTAATAAACTGGGTATAAAAGGAACATCCCTCAAAACAATAAACGACATAGATTTAAAAATTCACAGCTAACATATTGAACAGGGAAAAATTTAAAGCTTTTCCTTTGGGATCTGAAACAACACAAGGATGCTCACTTTTACCATTTTTATCCGGTATTTTACTGGAAGCCCTAGCCAGAGCAATTGGGCAAGAGAAAGAAATAAAGGCATCCCAACTGAAAAAAAAAATCAAATTATTACTGTTCACAGATGATGCAATATCATATTTACATTTACAAAGACATATTCTTATTCTCAAAAATTGATACATAATGGTTGTACATATTTGGGGGTATACGTGGTATTTTCATACATGCATACAATGTGTAATGATCAAACCAGGGCAACTGGGACATCCATCACCCCAAACATTCACTCTTTATGTTGGGATCAAATTTTTCTTCTTCAGCAACTTTGAACTATATAACAAATCTTGTTAACTATAGTCACCCTACTATGCTGTCAGACACTAGATATTATCATTCTATCTAAATATTTTCGTACTCATTAACCAGCCTCTCTTCTTTCCTCTCTTCCTTCTACTCTTCCCTCTGGTACATCAAATCAACTCTCTACCTTCCTAAGATCTACTTTTTTAGCTACCATGTATGAGTGAGAACATGTAACATTTGTCTTTCTGTGCCTGGCTTATTTAACTTAACAAAATGACCTCCAGTTCCATCCGTGCTGCTGAAAATGACAGGATTTTATTCTTTTTTATGATGAGATAATATTCTATTCTGTATATGCACCATATTTTCTTTATCCACTCATCTGTTGGTCAATACTTAGGTTGATTCCATATATTAGTTACGGTGAATAGTTCTGCAATAAAAATGGGAGTGCAGATAATTCTTTGATATGCTCATTTCCTTTCTTGCTTGATCCTAGCCAAAAGGCCGAGAGGCGATTCTAATTCCCTTTCTTTCAGATATATACCCAGTAGTAGGATTGCCGAATCATGTGGTAGCTCTATTTTTAGTTTTTTGAGGAATCTCATACTATTTTCTTTAGTGGCTATATTAATTTACATTGCCACTAACAGTGTATGAGGATTGCCTTTTCTCTGTATCTTCATCAGCATGTTATTTTGTCTTTTTTATGAAAGCCATTCTAACTGGGGTGAGATGATATCTTATTGTGGTTTTGATTTACATTTCCCTGTTAATTAGTGATGCTGAGCTTCTTTTTTCATATATTATACCTGTTGGCCATTTGTATTTCTTCTTTTGCATGATGTCTATTCAGGTCTTTCATCTATTTTTAAATTGAATCTTTTTTAGTTATTTTTATTTTGCTGAGTTGAGTTCCTTATGTATTCTAATTATTAATCTCTTATCAAATGGGTAGTTTGTAAATAATTTCTTCCATTCTGCATGTTGTCCCTTTACTTTGTTGATTATTTTCTTTGCTGTGTAGAAGATTTTTAGCTTGTTGTGATCCCATTTGTGTATTTTTTTGTTGTTGTTGCTTGTGTTCTTGAGGTCTTGCCCAAAATATCTTTCCCCAGACTAAGTCCTTAAATACCTTCCCAATGTTTTATCCTTTTTTTTTCTTCTCTTTTCGTTTTTCTTGAGACAGGGTCTCATTCGGTCACCCAGGCTGGAGTGCAGTGGTGCAATCTCAGCTCACTGCAACCTCCACCTCCCAGGTTGAAGCGATTCTCATGCCTCAGCCTTCCAAGTAGCTGGGATTACAGGTGTGTGTCACCACACCTGGCTAATTTTTGTATTTTTAGTAGAGACAGGGTTTCACCATGTTGGCCAGGCTGGTCTCAAACCAGCCTTGAGTGATCTGCCCACCTCAGCCTCCCTAAGTGTTGGGATTACAGGCATGAGCCACTGTGCCCAGCCCCCAATGTTTTATTCTAGTAGTTGCATAGTTTCATGTCTTAGGTTTAAGTCCGTAATCCATTTTGATTTTATTTTTGTATATGGTGAGAGATAAGGATCTGGCTTCATTCTTTTGCATATGGTTATCTAGTTTTCCCAGCACCATTTATTGAAGAGACTGCCCTTTCCCTAATAAATGTTCTTGACATAGTTGTCAAAAATCATTGGCTGTAAATATTTATTTTTGAATTTATTTTGGGGATCACTATTCTGTTCTATTAGTCTATATGTCTGTTTTTATGCCAGTACCATGCTGTTTTGGTTACTATGGCTTTGTAGTATATTTTGAAGTTAGGTAGTATGATGCCTTTAGCTTTGTTCATTTTGTTTAGAGTTGCTTTGGCTATTCAGGCTCTTTTGTGCTCCACACAAATTTTAGGATTATTTTTTTTCTAGTTCTGTGAGGAATGTCATTTATATTTTGATAGGAATTACATTGATTATAAAGATTGCTTTGAACAGTTTTGACATTTTAACAATATTAATTCTTCCAGTCCAGAAGTTTGGGATGTCTTTCCATTTTTTGGTGTGCATCCTTTCAATTTCTTTTATCAGAGTGTTTTAGTTTTCCTTATAGAGGTCTTTTACCTCCTAGGTTAAATTTTTTCTTAGGTATCTTAGATTTTTTGTAACTATTGTAAATGGGATTGCTTTATTTTTTTAAGGATTGTTTGCTGTTGGCATATGTAAGTGCTACTGTATATTGATTTTGTATCCTAAAACTTTACTGAATTGGTTTGTTAATTATAACAGCTTTTTAGTAGTAGGGTCTTCAGATTTTTCTAAATATGATATCATTTGTGAACAATAATAATTTATTTTTTTTTCAGTTGGGATGCCTTTATTTCTTTCTCTTGTCCAATTCCTCTGGCTAGGGCTTCCAGTAAACTATGGACTACTTTTGCCATTTTCATCTCTAGTTGTTTTGTGCCTCAATAAAACACTGTTGAATATTGCTGATAGCAACAGCCCCTATTTAGTTATTGATTTTAACTGAAATGGCTTTAGTGGGTCAATATTTATAGTTGTGTTTATTTAACTGGATTTTAGCAAATATAATTTGTCATATTTAAGTAATAACCCTCCATTAGTTATTTAGGAACGGCTGCTGTGATGGTTAATACTGAGTGTCAGCTTGCTTGGATTAAAGGATGCAAGTATTGATCCTGGGTGTGTCTGTGAGGGTATTGGCAAAGGAGATTAACATTTGAGTCAGTGGGCTTGAAAAGGCAGACCCACCCTTAATCTGGGTGGGCACCATCTAATCAGCTGCCAGCGTGGTCAGGATATAAAAGCAGGCAGGAAAATGCGAAAAGGCTACTAGACTGGCCTAGCCTCCCAGCCTATGTCTTTCTCCCATGCTGGATACTTCCTGCCATCAAACGTTGGACTCCAAGTTCTTCAGTTTTGGGGCCCAGACTGGCTTTCCTTGCTCCTCAGCTTGCAGGTGGTCTATTGTGGGACCTTGTGATTGTGTGAGTTAATACTTAATAAACTCCCCTTTATATAGATATCTATCCTATTAGTTCTGTTCCTCTAGAGAACCTTGATTAATACAGTTGCTAATTCGTCAAATGCACTTTCAGCATCTGTCTGTATGTCAGTGGTGTGCCAGAGCCAGCTCACCCTCTTCCCAACTCCATTCAGTGTCATCACATTGGCCAATTGGTTGAACTGTTTTTAAATGGTCATCGTGGAAATATTTACACCATGAATATCAGCAAATGCAATAAATCAGAGATTTTCTTTTTTTGAGGGCTGATCTTAACATTTATAGCCATTTACAGCAGCCACTGGATATAATCATATAGTTTTTCTCACTGATTTAATTAACATGACCCATTCATTCAAAAAGTACCTACTGAGCAGACACTATCATGACAAGTTCTGTGCACTGGGGATACAGCAGTGAAGAAAAAAGCATGCAAAATTCTTACCTTTATGTAACTTAACATCTAACAGAGTTTATAGTCTATAATGTGATTGTGTTAATAGATTTCCTAATATTCAACTGTATTTTTATTATGGCATACAGCCTAAATAGTAAGAAGGTATATTACTTTGATATACTGCTAAATTGAATTTGCCTATTTAATCTAGAATTTTAGCATCCATATTCATAAGTGTTATCACTTTGGGGGTGGTATTTTTGTATTATATTGATCAAGTTTTGCTATTAAGGTTAAGTTGTTTACATAAAATTAATTGGAGAACTTTCAGTCTATTTCTGAGGTCTGAAATAGTTTAAATAACATTGGAATCATCTGCTCTTTAAAGGTTGGATAAAACTCAGCTGTGAAACCATCTGGATTTGGGTACCTATTTTAATCATAGATCTTTAATTGCCCTTCCAATCCCTTCTATGGCAATGCATCTATTCAAAGTTTCTATTCATTGGCATAGCATACCTTTGATGAAAATCATTCATCCTGTCTGGATTTTCAGATTTGTCAAAAAGCATCAATCACTATGTATTATTTTATAATTTTAAGGCCCTTCCACATCTGTGTTATAACCATTTTATGTTTTTTTCTTTTACTCATTAGGCTCATGGAGAATTTTGTCTATTTTGTTAGTCTTTCCAAAGGATGAGCCCTTGGATTTATTTTTTTCATTTTGTTTGTTGTTGTTTCTCCTTCATTAATATCAGTTTCTATCTTTACGCTTCTTCTCAATATCTTCTAATTTTATTAATCTTTTTTCTAATTTCTAAATTTGTATATTGAGTTCTTTTGTGTTTTTAATAATGATGGTATTCAGTGTTATATGTTTTCCTCTGACTATAGCTTTAACTGCAAACAGATTTTGTCATGAAATGGTACCCATTTAGATAATGTATATGGAAATGTCCTATTATTTTTATCAGGTCTTCCTTGTGTTTCTGAAAGCTTTTGCTTTATTTATTTAAATGTCCTGATGTTTAGTGCATACAGGTTTTTAATGTACTCATAAATTTTGCCTCCCATAATTACATCATGTCATTATTTATCCTGCTAATATTTTTATCTTGTTTAGTGTTTTTAACTTTAATTGGATTAATTATGATCTTATATTAATATTGCCACTATTGCATTCTGTTTGTATTTCCTTGTATCTAACATATTTTTACACATTTTTTTCTATTACTCTGCTTTAAGTGTTTCTTGTAACCAATATATTGCTGGATTTTGTTTTTTAACCTAATACAACTATATTTGTCTTTTGAAAGAAGAATTCAGCCTTTTCACATTTAATTTACTAGGTTTTATATTTTCCATGTTTGGTAATTATTAATTTTATTGTTTCTTTTTTTCTCTCTCTAACTTTAGGTTGGTTTAAGAGGTTGGAATTTATTTATGTTTTTCTTTTTATTTGGACGTTCTACTGTGCTCTTCACTTCTGCCGGTGGAAACTTTCCTTCCTAAAACTCATAATATGCCAATTATCTTCACCAATGAGATGTTCTAGATCCCAATTTCTTGCCACCCTAACCCAATTAGATTATACCTTTCAAATACTTTGATCTCTGTACTCCTCCAACCAGATGAAATCTTTAGAATGATTATTGCACGCCTCTCACCATACCCTACAAATAAATTCCTAGGCTTTGCTTAGACAATTTAGTATCGTAATTCTAGACTACCACTGTTTCCATTGCAACATGACTCTTCCATTTCAGTAATTTTGGTTTTTATTTCTATCACATTTTCAAGTATTGTATCATATTAAACTTAACTATATATGCTGCAAGTTTCATTGGCTACCACTTGGCTCTTCATTTTCCCCTATATTAAAGTTTCTTTTCTGATTTATTTGTTGTCTGGATAGTGTTCTTCCTCTAGTCCTTTTGTCAGGCAGGACAAGTGAATAACACATTTTTTAAATCCTTCCACATATATAAATAGATTTCTTTCAGCCTGGGAGATGAATTCCAGTCCTTTCCTCAGGAGTCTCATATTTTTTCACTTCTAGTTTGTAGATGAGAAGTCTGATGACAGTGTGATTCTTTCTTATCTTAGAGGTAACCTGGTCGTTTTGCCTGTAAGATTATAAAATATTATCTTTATTCTTGGAGTTCAGGAATGTTCCCAGGATATGGAGTATGAGTTTTACATTTAACTTTGTGAGCTCCTTTAATCTGTAGACTCCATCTTTTTTCAGATGAGAGAAATGTTAATCTATTATTTGTCTCTCTTCTATCTGTTGTTTTTTGGGTTTTCCTCCTTCCAGGGCCCTATAAATTGCTTGCTAGAAAACACAAATGTGACAACCAAATCCATTATAGTTTCCCTCATGATTCCCAATTCTTTTTGGTTTTACTCTGCTCTTAATTCTTCCAGGCCACAAATTCTGGCCTCACCAATTTCCCTTTCAAATTATCTACCAAATTTAAGACTGAGAAATCACGGTTGGTTTGTTTTCCTTTGATCAAATGTGTCTCTTTACTCAGTAACTAAATTTTCCTCATGCTCTAATAATTTTTAGTTCATGCCATCATCTATCTCCTCCAGCATTTGTGCTCCATTAGGAGATTTGTGTTCTGTGTGTTCATTTTTTAATTTATTCACCTTTTCAACTAACATGTGTTGTGTGCCCACTGCGTGTTAGACACTTTTATAGATGCTGAGGATAGACCAGTAGAAAAGACAGAAAAAGGGCTCTTCCCTTATGGAGAAATGAAGTTGATAAATAAAATACATCGTGTGTCAGAGTGATAAATGAACTGGAGGAAATAAAGCAAGGAAGTAGACTAAGTGATTAAGGGTAGGATAGGTTGCTATTTTATATACATAGTCAAGGAAGCCTTCACTAAGAAAGTAAAAGTAGAGCAAAGACTTGTAGAAGGTGAAAGTCTTGGGTGATGAGTGCTCTAGGTAAGGGAACCTAAGGTCAAATGTAATTAAAAGCAGACTGGGAGAAGGGGGTGGGAGTAGGAAATATGGTTGGAGAGCATAAGAGGGGTCAGATCCTGTAAGCCAGTCTCAGGGCTGCCACATTGTACAACTCTAGGGGAAATGTTTGTATTAGAGTCTATGTGAATGAGAAGCCTTCCAGTATAAGCAAGTATGGACACAAAGAGGCCAGTTAGGAAGCTACTGCAATATCTAGGTAAGAAATGATGGCAGCTGGTACCAAGTTTGTAGTAGTAGACGTGATGAAAAGTGGTCAGATTCTGCTTGTGTTTTGAAAGTAAAGTCACCTGGCCATCCATCCAGGGCTGGCTTCATGGGCATGCAACCTGTGCAGGAGCCCAGGGCCCTGTGCTTAGAGGGGCCCCGTGTGTGAATAAATGCTCTGCTGTGGTCATCTTGAAATTATTGATAAATTTTGAATAAGGAAACCTGAATTTTCACTTTGCACTGGACCCACAAATTATGTAGCACATTATGCAGTCCTGTATGCAGCAAATATTTGTTGGTCATTCACTACTGGAAATAGGATCTGACATTCCATCAAGGAACAAAACAGAAAAATTATATTCTCGTGGGATTTACACTGTGAAGCAGATAATGGACAATAAACATAATAATAAGCCAATTAATCTGTATATTTGAAGGTGACTAGTGCTATGAAGAAAAAAAGTAGAATCTGGTAAAGAGACTTGAAGAAAGGTGTAGACCTGAACTTATATGATTAAATGGAGTAGTCAGGACAGGCCTCCTTGAGGTAAGTTGTCTGAACACACTTAATTAAGATAACAGAATTGATGAAGAGAATACCTGGGAAATGAGACTCCCTAAGAACAGCTAACAAAAGACTCTATTGTAGGAGTATCCTCACTATGTTCCAAGAGTAGCATAAGCAAGGGAGAAAGTAGGAGATGAAGAGGAATGAAGGAGGATGGGCAGATACCATAGGGTCTTGTAGCCATTGAAGCACTTTGACATTTACTGAATGAAATGAGGAGCTATTGAAGGGATTTGAGCAGAAGAGTCCCATCTGATTATGTTTAAAAGTATTATGGGTGTATACAGAATCAACTATAGAAGGGCAAGGATCAAACCAGTTTGAAAACTATGCAATAATCCAGATGAAAAGTGATGGTAGTTCTGATCAAGTTGATAGCAGAAGAGATGGTAAAAAGTGGTCAGACTTTTGACATATATTGCAGGTAAAACCAACAGAATTTCCTACAGGACTGAATGTGGGTTGTGAGATAGAGGAGTTGAGAATGGCCCTAAAGTCTTAGCCTGAGAAACTGAAAGAATGAAGTTGATGAGAAACTGGAAGGATGAAAATGAATAAGTAAGTCCAGAGAGGAAGACGAGAGTTCAGCTTTGGACATGGGGGTTGTCTATTAGACATCCAAGAGGATGTGGGGTAGTGTTTCATCTAGAGATCAGAGTAGAGGTCTGTGCTGGAAATATAAATATGGAATCATGGGAATATAGATGGTATTTAAAGTGCTGAGACTGAGAAGATCAAGGGACTGAGTGTCCACAGAAGAAAGGGCCAAGCACTGAGCCCTGGGGCACTCTAACATTAAAGAACTGGGAAGAAGATCAACCAACAAAGGGGACTGAGATACAGCAAGCAGCAAAGTAGAAAGTAGAGTCACAAAATAATGGGAGGAATGGAATTGAAAACAGTGAATGTAGACAACTCTTTCAAGAAGTATTTCTCCAAAGTGGAGGAAAGAAATGGGGCAGAAGCTGGCAAGGGAGTGAGATCAAGAGAATGAATGTTTACAGTGGTAGAAATAGCAGCATGTTTGTGTGTTGGATGGAATAATTCATCAGGAAATAAAAAATTGATGATGTAGAAAATGGGAAGAATTGCTGGAGCAATGCCCTTGAGTAATTGAGAGGGGATGCAATGTATTCCCCAAGTGAAGGAATTGACTTTAGATAGACACGTAAATTGTTCATCTATGATTCTGTTGTAACAGGTAGGACAGCAGAGCATGTGGCATAGATACTGGTAGTGAATTAATGTGGTGGTAGAAATGTGTAGAAGTTTTCTTCTAACTTCTTTTGCTTTCTCTATAAAGCAGGAAGCAAGGCACTGAGTCAACAGGACTTGCTGGTAGACTGTGTGTGGAATACGCACACAAGAAAAGGACTGAAGGATGACTCCAAGTTTTTTGTTGTGAACAATGGGAAAAATAGAGTTGCCATATGCCAGTGGAGTACTGGAGCAGACTTATACTGGCTCAAAGCCAAACATTAAATTTCCAAGAATTCTTCGAGCCAGTTGTTAAACACAGCCATTATTAAAAATTAAATTACACACCTTCTCAATTAAATAATTTATATTAAAAACAAAAATAGTAAATACTCAACACTGATTAGTTTACTGCATTTTGCCATATTGATGTTCTTGAGGTTATTTATACCTATTATTTCTGTGTGGTGTAAATACCTTATAATAGTGTGCTACTATGCATCTCTTCCCAACTGTGCATTCAGTTACATAAAACTAGTAGTTTGAAATCAGTCATGATTAGAGTATTTACACCACAGAAATTGGAAAATGCTAAAAATAAGAGCTTGAGTTATTGTTTGGTTGCTTGTCTAGACTTAAGAAAGTGAAAGAAAAAATGTTAATGTTATAGATTAAATTTAAAGATATATAGCTGTGTCTATTATAATACACTGTGAATACACAGAGTTGAGGAAATATTCCAGTATTCAAAACCTTCATCTGATTTAGCAAAGGCTTTGTGTTGATGACAAATGAGTAAAGTTGCAATGCACATCTGCATTGTTTCACTTTCATCTTACTCATTAAAGTACATAAAAATAGCAACCAACATTCCTGTTAGAATTATGCTTGTTCATCAGTTGCAACCACAGTTCAGCCACAAATACAAGAGTTTTGTCAAAGATCAATGAAAGCATTCTGTAAGAATCAATTGGCTACCAGTAAAATGTATATAATACATTTTATACATTTATACACTATAATACACATAATAAATGTATATGCGAGTGTATTTTTTTTTTCAAGAAGCCAGTTGTTAAACATTTAGCAGCTCACTAAATAGAGGGAGGAGCCAATCTGTGGAGCATTTCCGCCAGTACTACATGTTCTTTCTCTGTCTACTGACTGGATATCCTTAGGTGCATCATTAATTTCCTTTCTCTACTCCTCACTCATTTTTGGGACAGCAATAATCCAAAGAGTGGCAACAGAAAGAGCGGAGGGCCATCAGCCAGTCTCCTCTCAGTTCCTTTCATGGGCCACAAAATGCCTTAGAACTCCTTCTTCCCCAGAGGTTTCCCTAAATTGCCAGGACGTATAGAGATTCAGAGAAAACTCCAACGATGATGGAAAACCTTTAGGCTTACTCCAGCCTAACTCTTTCCCCACTGTTAGCTGTCTACATCACCTAACTTTCAGAGGAGAACGTAGAATTATTGGGCTTTTTGTACTCATCCACCTGCACTGTGCTGTTTGCAAGACTGTGTGGGTAATGGAAGTGATGCTGGACTTAGACACAACAGACATAGGTTCTGGTTGGCCTCTCAGATATCAGACAAATCACTAAACATTAACTGGGGAGTTTGGTCTAGAGGAACTTTAAGTCCTTTCTAACTAAATTTCTATTCAGATATACTCGTAGTGGGCAAGGGGCATCAGGAGATGGTAGCCTGGTGACTACTTACTATAAAAGGATATAGGTAATGCTCTAAGGTTAGATTATATTTTTAAAAACCTCTGATACATATTATTCTATCAATGAGAATTTCCATTTATATGGAAGAAAATTCATTGATAGTAGAAAGAAAGTTTGCAACAATAATTAACCGTATACACTCAATGAACCTTACTCAGTTTCCATTAGCATTTTCATGCGCGCGCGCGCGCGCGCGCGCGCATGTGTGTGTGTGTGTGTGTGTAGGTAGGTAGGTAGTTCTATGCAGTTTGATCCCATGTAAAACTTCATCACAACCACCATCAGGAAACAGAACTGCTCCATCACCAAAAAAGACTCACTCATACTACTCCTTTATTTTCACCCAACCCCATCCCTGTTACCTAGTAGCCACTGTTCCCCATCTCTATAGTTTTATCATTTCAAGAATACTATGTAAATGCAATCATACAGGTTGTAATTTTTTTATATTGGCCCTTTTTTCACTAAGCATGATGCTCTTCAAGTCTATCCAAGTTTATGCAGGTCTCAGTAGTTTGCTCCTTTCCATTGTTGAGTACCATTCCACTGAATGAATGCACCAGAGTTTGTTTAACCATTTACCCACTGAGGAGCATTTGGGTTGTTTCCAATTTTTGACTATTGCAAATAACGCTGCTGTGAACATTCAAGAGCAGATTTTTGCATGAGCATAAGTTTTTATTTCTCTGGAATAAATGCCAAAAGTACAGTCTTTGGGTCATACAAAAAATGCATATTTAGTTTTATAAGAAATTGCCAGACAATTTTCAGAGTGGCTGTACCAATATACATTCCCACCAGTAATGTAAGACTGATCTAGTTTCTCCACGCTGCCATTCTCCACAGCATTTGATATTGTCACTATTTTTAATTTTACGTGACCTAATAGGTGAGTGGTGATGTCTCATTGTGATTTTAATTTGCATTTTCCTAATGGCTAATGATGTTGAACAACTTTTCATGTTTATTTGCCTTTCATAGGTCCTCTTTGGTGAAATGTGTCTTCATGCCTTTTGCTCATTTTCTAAGTAGATTATTTGTTTCTTTACTCTTGAGTCTTAGTTTTTCATATATTCTAATCTAGCTACAAGTCCTTTATTGGATATGTGGTCTTGCAAACATTTTCTCCTAGTGTTCGTATTGTTAATCCATAAAATGGTGTTTTAAAGAACTGCTGAAGGTCTCACAAATTCAAATGCGTTTGAAAGAAAATATTGAAAAATAACAAATACCTTAAAAGACTATAAATAATAGTCATTTCCCAAGTTTTTCTGAAACAATGAGAAATTAGTATTACATTTTAGGTAGCAGATGTATGAAGGTCATTGAGACCCATGGGGAAAAGTTACATTTTAGTGTACCTACACCAGACTGATTTATTCTCTTTACCTTAAATTGAAGACAGGGGGATGAGAACATTGAAGTGATTTACTAAGAAGTTTATCAAGCATATGCCAATATAATTATTTTTTTAATCCTGCAAGAAAATAGATGTCAATAAATAAGTCATTTATAAGCTAATGGGACTTATTTCCAGTGTATTGAAATTGAAAGAGAAGCTTATTTAAAGATTAAGAAAGACATTAAGGAATGCATTTCAGACACATTAAATGGTACTAATAATGTGCTAAGTATTTACCTCTAAATGAAGGAAAGGTCTAGAATTTAAAAAACAACTAAGTGAAAGAAAAGCATCTTATTAGCAAACAAAAACCAAACATTGTGCAATATACTAACTAAATATCAAGAATAATTATCACTATCACTATTTTTAAAAACTGATTAAAAAAAGCAAATCTTTTTAATAATGATGGGAAAATAGATATTTGCTTATTACCTGAGAAAACAAAATAATCCTCTAGGGTAGTTTCAAAAATATAACACTTCAGTAATTAAAATAAAATTATAATTAATGGATTAGATTCTGTGTATATGCAGATAAAACAGTAATATAATTAAGCATAATGATGAAAATAGAATACAGTGTTATTGGTGAGACCTTGCTTCATATTATCTAATTCTAGAAAAACACTGGGCAATAAAGATAATGATTTGTAGCAGATGTCTCTCCCTTGCATTAGTGGAAATGTTAACATAGTTTTTAAAGTTATACTAAAATCATCAGCTAACTTGTCTAATCTGAACTACTCTGAAAACTGTATGTTCTGAAAAGCTATTTCAAATAAGAAGTCTGTTTTTGAAAAACCAGTGTTACAGAATGACTCCTATGGTTGGGGGAACCCTGAACCACCAAAATTGAACAACTGTCTTACCTCTATACCCTAAAATGAAAAGGCTGCTTTATTGTTTTCTGATGACAGGAAAACATTGGATGGCTATTCATGTTTGCTGCAAGATTTGGATACAATCAAAGCCAAAGATCCATCCAAGTTCTACATCTGGGAATTGGAGTTAGCCAAACAAACAACAACAAAAAAGTTACGATTAACCAAGTTTTTATCTCACTGCCTAAAATCATACTCCCAGAATTCTTAGCACTGCATATCTATCAATAATACACACTATTCTATCACCCATATTTGAAAACCATAACATGTCTTCCTCTTTCACTGTGACATCAGGTAGCCACATGTTCTGCCAGAATTATGTAAAGGAAGGAGTTTATTTTATCACTGAGGACGGGAAACCAGGGTTTTTGAAGTCTTAATGAGTAGAAGCCCGAAAAATTGTCATTTCAAAGCCTCAAGGCCTTTTATTAAGCCTCCCGAGAGGTTGAAGCAGAAATTCATCTGTGGAACACATAATTTGTATGGGGGAAATCAACAGAATGAATCCTTTCATTACACAACGTAAAGGATTGATTCCTTGATCTTGAGGAAAACGTTGACATGGCCATCAGCCTCCTTCATGCTTTAGAAAAGGTGTTTTAGACAGTTGAGCGTGCTGTTCAGAAATGCAGTAGCACTCCGCCTATGAGCCAGCCTTGTTTGGAGAGGAGAGAAGAAAGGGAGGTGTGTGAGAGACAGGACATTAGGTCAGGTTCTGTCTGATCGAGGCAATGCACTGTATTTCAAATTATTCCTCGTTCTTGTGGAGGAGTTTTGGGGTTGTTTATTTGTTTGCATTTTGTTTTGTTTCACTCTCTTTTATTATAGTAAGTGGAGATCTGACATTGAAAAAATGGCCGGAAAAAAATTTCAATTCACATTGGAGGAAAGATGTGACTCTCCTCCACAGGTTCTCATGCTGTGATTTTTCAAAAGGCAATTAAGTCAGAATGCACAGATGTGGGCCTGCTGGGCACTATCCTACAAGACCTTGTGTGGTTTTCTCTGAAGGGAGAGGACACTCCCATTGCCAGCATCTTGAACCAGAAAATAATCTAAGAAATTCCTCCCTCTCTCTGAGCTGCGTGGTAATTGGGCTTAGGCTCCAAAGCAACTTGCAGCCTGGGGGGATGTCAAGCTGGGGGGTTCAGGCCAGAGGTCAAATTGGGACTGTGAGATGTGAAAGAATAGTCAAATCTCATAGCTGGTTGTAAATTAAGTTCCATGGTGTTTTCCCTGAACTTTCAATAAAGTCCTAATAAAACACATGGTTTGGTCTCAACTCTGTACGGGGAGTTAAGTGAACTTCCTAACCTAATTAGGAATGATGGGATGAAAGACAAAGCAGGCCAGAACAATGAAAACTGTTCCAGTCTGTAAGAGTTGACTGGAGCTTCAGAAGGTAATAGACAGAGGCCTTGGTGGGGCTGCTTAACAAGGAGCCTGGAGCAGAAGGGCTGGTGAGAAATATATCACAAACAGACATAAGACAGGGCTCTCAGGAAGAACAAAAAGTGAGGCGGGCAGGCTGGGTGAGGGCCTAACATCCTAAAATTCCAAGAAGTTGCAAACCCAACATGAATTATCATTTATGCTTAAGTAGAAAATTCAGATTGATATGGGCTGAAAATGCACTTGCTAATACGATGTCTTTTTAATTAATCCCTTCCCACTGCATCCCAGCACCATCACTCTGGTCCAGCTCCTCACTGCCTGATGGCCAGATTCCTGCAACAACCTAGAATTCAGAAACCGAATTACTCTCCCTGACATATGGACTTAACACCATGACATTAATCTTCACAAAACATTGACTTCATCATAGGACTTTTGCACCCACACAAATCATATGCAATGGCATAAAATTCCACATCTTGGATCATCAATGATGATGCTAGTGAAAAGAGGCAGGAAAACATAGGCCTTAAAGAGTATGAAAGAATTAACCAATAACCTGGGTTGAGACCTTTGAATGAGAGTAGGCTAGGAATAGACTTCACACATCTCAATCCTGAGAGATGAGCGAGAAGGGGATTGGGAACAAGAGTTCTTATCAATGAGGACTGTGAAGGCATACAGAAAAGACCTGTGCTGGAGACCACCAAGCAAGCATAAGAGACTGTAGCTGCCTTAGCTAGGAACTGGAGGCTTCAGCAGTCTCTACCCTCCAGCAGGATGCAGTGCAAACTTGCCCAGATGCCTTGAAAACAACATGTGTGATTTATTTCCCCAATCAGAAGTTGAAAGGAAAATATAATATGGTAACATAGTTTTCCAGTTGGGATTGCTGGTGGTTAAGAGAACACTGTAAGCCATGTGTAACTGCACATTTATGAAGAACCTGCTGCATGCTGGTCCCTAAGGCAGCATGGAGGAAGAATTGGAAGCCACAGGCCATGTCTTCCTGTTGCCAAGACCTAGAAGTTAAATAAAGGAGAGACTTTTATAGGAAAATGTAACAGGCTCCCCAGTAAAAGGGAGCATAGGCTACTGTGGGAACCTATAAGGAGTCCAAGAAACTGGGACCCAAGGAGGACACAGGAGAACTTCCTGGAGGAAGTGACATCTGATCTGAGATACCATGATTAAGCAGGTGCTAGCCTAATATAAAAGGACGGTCATTTCTCAGGCTGCTGCAACAAATTACCATAGGCTTGGTGAATTAAAGCAACAGGAACTGGAGAGAATTCTCCAGGTTATGAAGGGCAAAGTCTGAAATCAGCATCATCAGGCCCCAAGATGTCAGGGTTGTGTTCCCTCTGGAGATTTTCAGGATGTCTCTTCCTTGCATCTTTCAGCTTCTGGGGGCTGCTGGCATTCCTTGGTTTGTTTTCATGTCACTCCAGTCTTTGCCTCCACCTTCACATTGCCCTCTCCTCTGTGTGGGTCAAGTCTCCCTCTGCCTCCCTCATTAAAGGACACTTGGGATTAGACTTAGCATCCCCAGATAATCCAGGATAATCTCTCCATTTCAAGATGCTTAACTTAATCATATGTCAAAAGATTCTTAACTTTTTTTCCACAGAAGGTAACATCGCTTGTTCAGGAATTAGGACATGGCTATTTTTGGGGGATCACTTTTCTACCTACCACAGAAGGGACAGGTGAGGGGCATTCTAGGAAGTAAATGAGGTGTGCACAAAGGCTCAGAAATGTGAGAGAGGGTTGGGGAATTTGGGGAGAGTAGAGAGTTTAATATGGCTTGGGTGTCGGTTGCGAGTTAAGAGTGGAGAGAAAGAAAGCTGCAGAGGTAAGAAGCATCTACAATATAAAAAGTTTTATGGTTTATTCTCTTGCAATCTTAAGGAGAAATGCCCAAGAAAGCAACACTGCCTGAACACCCTTGTGCATCACTGAGCATTAGAAGCTGTTCTGGAGACATGGACCGAGCAGGAGAACAGGTGCCATTGCAAGGATTAGTGTTGTCATGCATCAAAGGAGTACATGGGCCTCTTCTGCAGGGAACCACATGCACCCCAGGGGAATGGGTCCCTTTGGGGGAGCTTAAAAATAAGAGTTAACTGCTAAACCCCAGCTGCTTCTCACCAGAGCTCCTCAGCCATTCCTCTCTGAAACATTTCAAGGTGGAATCTGTAGTTTGGGTAACGTAGCTTATGTAAGCTGTATTTCTCTAGGATCTCTTGTTCACAAATAAATATATAGATGGCTAGAGAAATATTTCTCCCAAAAGCTTCTTCATCCTGTCCAGTCACCACGCCCACCAAAATTTTTCATTTTTCTGGTCAAGGAGCAGTGACTGAAGGGCCCCTGCATCATCCTCCTTATTCCCTTATAGTTTGGGTTTCTTCAGGTGAAAGACAGACACAGAGAGAAGGATAGAGAGAGATGGGGGAGGGAAGCACAGTGAGACAGAAAAGGAGAATACGTCAGTGAGTAAGTTCACTAAGTATTTACCAAACACCTACTGTGTGCCAGGCACTATTCAGGTTATACAGAAAATAGCAGTAAGCAAGACACAAGGAATTCACATCCCAGAAGTTTCGTGTTGTCCTTCCTGTGTCCTGCTCCCTGCTTAGCACTGTGCTAAGCTCTTTGTACACATTATTTCTTTGTACCCCACAGAAATGGAGATGAAACAAGAGGTCAGAGAGAGAGATGGACCTGCCCTCAAGATAGATGTAAAAGTAGAAATGGAGAAGGTCTATCTGAAAATTATCTGGATATTACCTTGCCTATAGAACTTAATTTCCTACAGCCATTTTTTTCAGACTGCAGGCTGGAATCAGATAGTTTTCCCGAAACCCCAGCCAAGTAAAGCAAAAGAGTTCCAAGGATAAATAAAGGGAAAAGTTCACAAGTTTGACCAGCACTTTTGGCCATGGTAAAGTAATATGGACTTGGCTGGATACTCCTGGTTATTTATAGAGCAAGTAAACACTAAAACATGCTGCAATTGCAGATGGCTGGGCCAGATGATCTGTCACGGTCCCTTCCAACTCCATTTATTTTGTGATATTTTATTTTTGCCCTAGTACCTATCACAAGGGCTAATAAGTGAGCCATTATTATGAAGGAGAAAAAAGCCCAGACAAAAATTTTGTATGATTTTGTAAGTAAAATCAAATAATATGAAGGGAGGAAATGCACTTTTTAAAGGAGGGAATAATTGCATTTCTAATTTGATAAAACCTAATCAACAAGAAGATCTTCTAGTCACTTGTGCGTAGGGAGATTCCTATGACTACAAAACCATAAAAGACCTGAGAGGTCATCAGAAGAGCCCCTCAAATTTTACAGAAAAGGCTACTGTGGCCCAGAAAGGTGATGTGGCACACCCAGGTCTTCTGACTCCTGTCCGAAGGTCTTTTATCCAAACCACTGTTCAAATCATTTTAATATAGATTGTCTTCTCAATTAAGGAACTCCTAGAAAATTCTAGTCCTAGTAAAAGTTAAAATAGATACATTCGATATGCTAATGTGTGTGATTTGTGCTTACAATATAATTTTATAAGGGGTATATCAATCCATATAAAATGTAATGATTATCTATAGAGACAACTTCTCCTAACTCATAAGCTATACCAAGAAGCTGTTTAACTCTTTTACAACAAGTACATAACACTGAAGTAAATTATGGCCTCAGTGGTACATTATGTTATGTCTTGTTTAAATAATTTCTAGAGAAACAACTTAAATCTGGAGCTTGGCTCACATCTGAGCTCCCCCTGGAATCACGAGGAATAATCTGGCAATGAAATATCCTAGCTAGAGACTTTTATTCATCTGCATAAACATAAGGAAAATATTTTATTTGAGGTACTTTAGGACTCAAGCATTTTTTTGTAGGTTTCCTTGTTTTTAACAGGAATATGAGATTTTCAGGCAAGAAACATCCTCGTGGGTTTTGAGACTAAGAGGAGAACATCAAGATGTTGTTATCTAGAGCAAACAAAAAAGCATAAACCTGCCAGGTGAGAAACCAAGTCAATCAGTTGTTCATTATTCTCTTTCTTCCTGCTGTCGAGCAAAACAATACTTCAATCATCCCATTAAAATGTCAAACACCTTCCAAAACATAATTGGACAAAAAGATTCTATTGAGCCATGGTCACCTCACAATCTGATGCAAAAAGCAGAAGGGAAGGCCAGCGATCAGCCTTATGGCAGATCCATTATTACCTCAACAGGAAGAGTCTGTCTTTATTTATGAAGAAAATCAATGCCCACAAGAGGTTCTTAGTGCTAGTTTTAGGAGAGAAAAGTCCAGTATGACCATGATAAAATAACTTTGTAGTGAATAGCATAGTAAAGACATTAATATTTATTGAGTACTTACAATTAGTTCAGTACTTGAATTATTTACTTAGTCCTCACGAAAATCCTTTAAGATGTCCATCTGGCAAAAAAAAAAAAAAGAGAAAGAAAAGAAAACAAGTCTACAATGGTTAATAGCCCAAGTCTACGAATAAGAAAAGCTGTGAATAGAAAGCCAGATCTCTCTTTCCCCAGGTTTGTACCCTTGCATCACTTAGAGATTTTTCTCATCAAACAATCCAAAAGGAGCATTGGAATAAGCTTTTGAGGATATGACGTGACCTTCTCCTTTCAATACAAGAAAAGAAATTTTGAATAAGAAAATCTGAAATTTCTATTGTTATAATTATGTGCTAATTTCAGAATTCTTTACCTGAGAATTGTGAGGATTTTGTGGTCATGAATCTACAGCAATCATTAAGGAAAATCCTAGATGATTTCTTTTGCCTCAGATTCTGCAGCCCTTGCCGAATGAAATTTTTGTCATCTGAGAACACCAACATTTGTTCCCAGTTCTCTGGAGGGCATTAGAGTCAAAAAGAGTTGTATGAGTATGTTCTCTAAATGGATTTTCCTCAACAATCACTGAACACCTAACAAGACAACAAGAACTTGTGATGTATAAGAGTTTCTAGCTGATGGGACGTCTGTTGACATCCACAGCCTCTGAACTGGAGGAAATCGTACAGTATCTGTCGCAGGGTTTCACATGCTATTTTAAGCACTTGTGATGAGGAAGATTTTCTGCCAAATAGGATGCACCCAAGAGAGACAAAAACTATTAAACTTTTTGGTTGCTCTAAAAAATCCTATTTAGCATTACTTTAAAATAAGTTATTACTGAAGAGAGAAATAACAAAATGGAAATCACAGCATATGTGTAAACCTATTTATGAAGCCATTTCAGAAAATTTTATAATAGATAATAACAGGCTAATTGTGTGTGTGTGTGTGTATGTGTGTTTTCTTATATAATTTTTTTTGCTGTATTGTGAATGTCAAGTTAATTAAAGACGGAAACTATACAATCCAAAATATCATCTCTGTGTGACTCCAGGTTAGTTGTTAGTGTTAGCCAAAAAAAATAAAGGAACTTGTACAAAAAATTGGAATGCAGAAGTAAAACTGTAGACATGGTCAAATTTGGTTATAGATGGAGGCAAAGGTGCCCTGGAGGGTCCCAGCTGGCCCCCACTCCCTTCTGTCCTGTATCTAGCTCTCCCTCCTGACTAATGGCAAAGCTAGTCCACAGTGCCCCAGGCCCACAACCAGATGCTAAGCTGTGGACCCACAGAGGCCTCTCCACATGCTCCCCTGTTGTGAGAGCTGGACATGGAAGCTCTGATTTGTCCATCCATGCCAGGGCTTCAGACAGACTAAGGATGCTTCCCTGATTTTCTGACTTCCACTTTGAGACCTTCACTTCCCCAGTCCCTCTCACAGCTGTGAAAGGACTAATTTTTATAATTTATTTACTCCATAATATGCATAGTGGCTCTGCATTTCCAAATGAATTTTGACTGACACAGTTGTACATATTACACACATTACATGCATACATACATACATACACGTACACATGCATTTATCCACATGTATGTTATATAATTCTTTATTAAATTCCTTATATATTACATGATTCTTATAACTAGGTTTCTAAGTCATTTTCTATATCCTCAATACCTAGCACAGTATCTGATATAAAATGTATATGCAGTATTTATTGAATGCAAAATGAATGGCAAGCTAATTTTTAGATCGCTGAAAAATATTCTTCTACCCAATGGAAGTCAATGCTCAGTAATTCTGGGAAATTATGCCAACATCAAAGAGTTCTTAAAAGTACAATTTTCAAATTTAGATTTATGATTATATATAATGGGCTTATTAAAAGTAATATTCAGAGATAATAGATTCCAGACCTGCTCAACTACAGTGTTTTCCTGCAATATCATGTCAGCTATTTTCTTTTCTCCCTAAAATTAGGAAATTTCAAGTATAGGCATACCTCATTGCATTATACTTCACTTTATTGCACTTCACAGATAGTGCATTTTTAGTAAATTAAAGATTTGTGGCAACCCTGCATCAAGCAGATCTGTCAGCGCCATTTTTCCAACAGCATGTACCCACATCGTGTCTCTGTGTCACATTTTAGTAATTTTGCAATATTTCAAACTTTTTCATTACTCTTATAACTGTTATGGTGATCTGTGATCAGTGATATTTGATGCTGCTACTGTAATTATTTCCGGGTGACACAAACCATGCCCATATTAGACAGCAAACTTATTTGATAAATGTTGTGTGTGTGCTGACTGCTCTACAGACTAAACCAGCCATTCCCCCATTTCTCTTCCTCTCTTCGGGCCTCCTTATTTCCCGAGACACAACAATATTGAAATTAGTCCTATTAGTAACCCTGCAATGGTAACTAAGAGGTCAAGTAGCAGGAAGAGTCCTGTGTCTCTCATTTTAAATCAAAAGCTAGAAATGACTAAACTTAAGAGGAAGAAGTGTTGAAAGCCAAGAAAGGCTGAAAGTTAGGCCTCTTGCACCAAACGGTAAGCCAACTTGTGAATGCAAAAGAAAAGTTCTTAAAGAAAATTGAAAGTGTTACTCCAGTGAACACATGAATAAGAAAACGAAATAGTTTTTATTGTTGATAGGGAGAATATTTTAGTGATCTGGATAGAAGCCACAACATTCTCGTAAGCCAAAGTCTAGTTCAGAGCAAGACCCTAACTCTCTTCAGTTCTATGAAGGTTGATAGAGGTGAGGAAGGTGCACAAGGATGGCCGGGCATGGTGGCTCATGCCTGTAATCCTAGAACGTTGGGAGGCTGAGCCAGGAAGGATCATCTGAGGTCAGGAGTTCAAGACCAGGCTGGCCAACATGGTGAAACCCCATCTCTACTAAAAATACAAAATTAGCTGAGTGTGGCGGTGGGAGCCTGTAATCCTAGCTACTTGGGAGGCCGAGGTGGGAGAATCTCTTGAACCCGGGAGGCAGAGGTTGCAGTGAGCTGAGATTATGCCACTGCATTCCAGCCTGGGCAACAGAGTGAGACTCTGTCTCAAAAAAAAAAAGAAGTGCAGAAGGAAAATGTGAAGCTAGTAGAGGCTGCCTCATAAGGCTTAAGGAAGAAGCTATCTTTATAATGTGAAATTGCAAGATGAAGCAGCAAGTGCTGACGTAGAAGCTGCAATAAGTTATCCAAAAATTTAGCTAAGATAATTGATGAAGGTGGCTACACTAAACAACATGTTTTCAATGTAGACCAAACAGCCTTCTATTGGAAGAAGATATCATCTAGGACTTTCATAGCTAGCAAGATGTCAATGCCTGGCTTCAAAGAACAGGCTGACTGTCTTGTTAGGAACTAATGAACCTGCTGATCTGAAGTTGAAGCCAATGCTCATTTACCATTTTGAAAATCTTAGGGCTCTTAAGAATTATGAAAAATTGACTCTGCCTCGGCTCTATAAAGGAAACAATAAAGACTTGATTACAGCATATCTGTTTACAACATGGCTTACTCTCTCTCTCTCTCTCTCTCTCTATATATATATATATATATAAACTTTTTTTTTTGAAACAGAGTCTCACTCTGTCACCCAGGCTAGAGTGCAGTGGTGCGGTCTCAGCTCACTGCAACCTCTGCCTGGGTTCAAGCAATTCTCTGCCTCAGCCTCCCAAGTAGCTAGGATTACAGGCACCCACCACCACGCCCAGCTAATTTTTTGTATTTGTAGTAGAAATGACGTTTCACCATCTTGGCCAGGCTGGTCTTGAAATCCCAACCTCGTGATCCACCTGCCTTGGCCTCCCAAAGTGTTGGGATTACAGGCTTAAGCCACCGTGCCTGGCCAGCTTACTAAATATTTTAAGCCTACTGTTGAGAACTACTGCTCAGGGGAAAAAAAAAGAAGAAGATTGCTTTCAGGACATTTCTACTCATTGACAGTGCACCTTGTCACCCAAGAGCTCTGATGGAGATGTAGAAGGAGGTTAATGTTATTGTCATGCCTGTTAATATATTACGTATTCTACAGTCCATGGATCATGGAGTAATTTCAACTTTCAAGTCTTATTATTTACGAAATACATTTTGTAAGACTATAGCTGCCATAGGTAGTGATTCTTCTGATGGATCTGAGCAAAGCAAATTGAAAACCTTCTGGAAAGTATATACCATTCTAGATGTCATTAAGAATATTCAGATTCATAGGAGGAGGTCAAAATGTCAACATTAATAAGAGTTTAGACGAAGTTGATTCCAACCCTCGTGGATAATTTGAGGAGTTCAAGACTTCAATGAAGGAAGTAACTGTAGATGTGGTGGGAATAGCAAAATAACTAGAATTAGAAGTGAAGGCTAAAGATGTGACTGGATTGCTGCAACCTTATGATAAAACTTTAATGAAGGGAGAATTTCTTCTTATGAATGAGCAAAGAAAGCAGTTTCTTGAGGTGGAATCTCTTCTTGAAGAAGAAGCTTTGAACATTGTTGAAATAACAACAAAGGATTTAGCATATTACATAAACTTAGTTGATAAAGCAGTGGCAGGGTTTGAGAGGATTGATTCCAATTTTGAAAGAAGTTCTACTGTATTATGTTATCAAACATCACTGCATGCTACAGAGAAATCTTTCATAAAAGGAAAAGTTCATTGATGTTGCAAACTTTATTGTTGTCTTATTTTAAGAAATTGCCACAGCCACCCTAGTCCTCAGCAACAAACACCCTGAGCAGGAAGCAACCATCAACATCAAGGCCAAACCCTCTACCAGGAGAAAGATTATGACTCTCTGAAGGCTCAAAGGATTGTTAGCATTTTTTAGCAACAAAATATTTTTAAATTAAGCTATGTATTTTTTTTTAGATATAATGCTATTGCACACTGAATAGAGTACAGAATAGCGTAAACATAAGTTTCATATGCATTGAGAAACAAAAAAATCTCTGTGCCTTGCTTTATGGCAATAATCACTTTATTGTGTTTGGTCTGTAATCAAACCCACACTGTCTTCAGGGTATGCCTGAATATAATTAATTGCTAAGTGACACTCCACCACAACCCCATCTCTGTATCATGCATCTAGGATTGTTATGTTGCATTCTGCTATGTTTATCCTTTGAAAATAGACTAAAAGGATGCCAGATGCCTGTGGTTAGGAGTCTTGCTAGGTAAGAAAAATGGCTTCAAAAGGGAAACAAGGTCTGGTGAGGCTGACTCATGGAGATTGGGGAAAGACCAATCCTGGCGCCTCCACATTTGGTCCTGGAATTTTATTTATTTATTTATTTTTTGAGATGGAGTTTCGCTCTTGTCACCCAGGCTGGAGTGTAGAGACATGATCTCAGCTCACTGCAACCTCCACCTCCCAGGTTCAAGAAATTCTTCTGCCTCAGCCTCCCAAGTAGCTGGGATTACAGGTGCCTGTCACCATGCCCAGCTAATTTTTGTATTTTTAGTAGAGACAGGGTTTCACCATGTTGGCCAGGCTGGTCTTGAACTCCTGACCCCAAATGACCCACCCACCTCGGCCCCCCAGAGTGCTGGGATTACAAGCGTGAGCCACTGTGCCCAGCCGGTCTTGGAATTTGAAGGGAGCAGATGTCCCTCTAGTCATGGATAGTTAGGGCAGCTTCCACCATCTGGAAGAAGGCCAGGAGCTAAGAATGATATGTATAATAGAACATAGGATAGTGGTCAAGTCATATGTTGTAATTAAGATTATTTAATCTGTATCATCCCACATTGATGAGCATTGGAGTAGCACCACAAAGGCAAAAGCTGTGGCTATTTTGCTCACCAATAAACCTCTAATCCTAACTCAATGCCTGGCATAAAGAAGCACCCCATAAATGTTTGTTAAATGATAAGTGAAAGAATTTTTTCCCATAGCATCACTCAAATCTTATTTAAGCAGTATAACCTTGTCTAGTTGTGCCATGGAGACAAAGAAAAAGAATTTGAACTCAATGTTTGTCTAGAGCATTAAGGAGCAGCAGTATCTGCTTCCCACACCACAGCCCTGAAGCCCGTTAGAGTGACCAGCACAGCAGTCAGGAGCAACATACTCCCAAAAATAGATAAATTCATGGAGAAAAGGTGAGAATCCTATAGTCCAGTCATTTCCTTCCACCAGAACATTCTCCTTCTATGGTCAATTTTAAAGATTCTAATTTCTTTACTAATATAGGAAAGTCATTCATTAAGTATTTACTACATCAGTGTATTGAAAAATTACCACTGTTTTCTTTTATCTGCTGCAAATTCATCAAAACTAAATGAAATGTGTCCCTCTCCTCCTCAGAAGAATAGTCCAGCATTTAATTTATCCTCCCAGTATCTGGGTTTTCCTGGACATTAATAGACAGGAGGATACCTTTTCAGTGTGAGTATTGAAAAGGAGATATCAGGGATGGGTTCATTTTTGCAGACAATCCTTAAGTAGGCATTTTGGTTTCCAATGGTTGCTCAAAAATTATCTAACTGGTGGCCCAAAGACATGTTTTGTTTTGTTTGTTTGACATGTGTTCAGTGTTCTAAAAGTTGTGAATTAGTTACAGTGGAGATAAAACAATAGGATTGTCCAATGAGAGAAATGGAGGTCAAATTCTTTTTTGTAATAAAAATTGTATATATTTAAGGTGTACGACATGAGGTTTGGTTTTTATATACATATATAGTGAACTGAATATTACAGTCAAGCTAATTAACATATACATATCTTCACATAGTTACCATTTTGTGTGTGAGAGAGAATACTTAAGACCTACTCTCTTAGGAAATTTGCAGTATACAATACATTATTAGTAACTACAGTCCTCATGCTGCACATTAAATCTCTAGAACTTATTCACCCTGCGTGAATGAAACCATCATTTGACCAACATCTCCCATTTACCCCTTTCCCTGGTAACCACCCTTCTCCTCTCTGCTTCTGAGAATTCAACTTTTTTATATTCCACATATAAGTGAGATCATGCAGTATTTTTTTCTGTGTCTGGTTTATTTCACTTAGCATGATGTCTTCCAAGTTTATCCACGTTGTTCCAAATGGCAAGATTTTCTCTGTTTAAAAAACCAAGTAATATCCTATTGTCTTCATCCATTCATATGACAGTGAACACTTAGATTGTTTTCATATCTTGGCTACTATGAATAATGCTGCAATGAATATGGGACTGCAGATACCTCTTTGAGATATTGATTTCATTTCCTTGGCTATACACCCAGAAATCATATTGCTGAATCATATGGTAGTTTTATTTTCAATTTTTTGAGAAACCTCCATACTGTTTTCCATAATGCCTGTAACAATTTACAATATTACCAGCAATGAATAAGAGTTCCCTTTTCACCACATCCTTGCCAATACTTGATATCTTTTGTCTTTCTAATAACAGTCATTCTAACAGATGTGAGGTGATATATTGTTGGGCTTTTAATGTGCATTTCCCTGATGATTTATGATGTTAAGCACCTTTTAATATACCAACTGGCCATCTGCATGTCTTCTTTAGAAAAATGTCTATTCAAGTCCTTTGCCCATTTTAGCAAGCTTGTTTGTTTTTTTGCTACTGAGCTGTATGACTTCCTCATATGTTTTAGATGCTAACCCCTTATCAGATAAATGGTTTGCAAATATTTATCTCCCAACCTATAGGGTGCCTTTTCATTTTGTTGATTATTTCCTTGGCTGTAAAGGGCTTTTACTTTAATGTAGTCCCACTTGTTTATTTTTGCTTTTGTTGCCTGCCTCTGTTCATTCCTATATATAGAAAATCCTAAAGATTCCATTAAAAACTATTAGAACTAATAAATTTAGTAAAGTTGCAGGATACAAAATCAACATACAAAAGTCAGTAGCATTTCTTTAAACCAACACCAAACTATCCAAAAAGGGAATCAAGAAAACAATCTCTGTTATGATAGCATCAAAAAGAATAAAATAATTAGGAATAAATTAACCAAGGAGATGCAATAACTGAATGCTAAAAAAGATAAAACATTGACAGAAAAAGACTGAAGAAACAAATGGATGGAGAATTATCTCGTGCTCATGGATTAGAAGACTTAATATTGTTTAACTATCTACACAACCTAAAGTGATCTTTACATTAAATGCAATTGTTATTACAATTCCAGTAGCATTCTTCACAGAAACAGAATAAAAGCAATCCTATAAAATTTGCGTGGAACCACAAATGACCCCAAACAGCCAAAGCAATCTTAAGAAAGGAGAACAAAATATGAGGCATTACACTTCCTGATTTCAAATTATATTACAAAGTTATAATAATTAAAACATTATGGTACTGGAATAAAAACAGACAAATTGGCCAAACGAACAGAATATAGAGCCCAGAAATGAACTCAGGCATAGGTGATCAACTAACTTTCAACAAGGGTGCCAAGAATACACAATGAGGAAAGGGTAGTCTCTTTGTAGGAAAGCAGTCTGTTGAATGGCAGAGTGATGCCGTCTTGAAGCAAAACTACCATGATGATCAATATTTGATGCCTCCATACCAAGGTGTTCTGCAGCAAGATCTTTAAACTGCAGCATAGATAAACACTCATAAAGATGCTTATCTAACCTCCTCAGTGGTCACAAGTTTCACAAGAAAGTCTGAGATGTGACCAACTGTACATGCTTGTCAAAAGAACCTACTACCTACTATAAAAAGGATATTTTCTGTGTAAGTCTCTATTAAATATTGCTTTCTGACAAACTAGATGTGTTAGCCTCTTTCTTTGGCCTCTCAGCTCCCTCAACCATTAGGGGCAGGTTTGCATATATCAGCACACCACAGAACACTCTTCCATAAATGGTGTTGGAAAAACTGGATAGCCACATGCAAAAGAAATTGTACCCTTGTCTTATACTGCACACAAAAATCAACACAAAATGGATTTAAAGACTTAAACATAAAACCTAAAACCATAAAATTCCTAGAAGAAAATGTAAGGAAGAAGTTCCTTTCTTAACACTGGTCTTGGCAATGTTATTTTGGATATGACACCAAAGGCATAGGAAACAAGAGCTCAAGTTCTTGTCAAGGAGCTGACCAGCACCCGGTGAGCCCAACTTCCCATGGAACCAGGAGTTCCTTCCTCAGGAGGGCAAATTCAACATCTCATGACTTTGCTGGGTAGCAGCTGCCATCCCAAACAACTTCCTGTATAGCTGCTGTTTTACTCCAGGATGCTTGGTACCCAACCTCAATTCTTTATTCCCTGAACCCAGATCATTCCTCATACTTGCATTTTGAGAAGGTAAGGTAGCACGTGTGCATAGTTCATCCCCAGAAACGTAACTCCTATGTATCCAGAAGCTTCACCTGGCTCCAGCCTGCTCTCCTGGGGGTAATGAAAGAACAGGAAACTTTATGCCTATTTTCTTAAACTTCCACTCTATAAACTACCCACCCCATGAAAAAGTTTATTTCTTAATCCCCTTCATGCAACACTGTGGTATTTATCTTCATTTACCTTGTCATGCCTCCTCATTGCCTGCATTTAAAAACTGAGAGGTTCCACATGAAAATCTGGATTGCCAATGTGTCTTAAAATAGCCTATATTCCCAAATGGCAGCAAACAGCTAGATCTCAAAAGCCAGTGGTCCACTATTTCTTGAATGTAAGCTTCAGCTGTCATGTAGCATCATGCTAAACCTGTGATTTACCTGACTGTAGAGTAAGAGGAATGTGAATTATTTCTTGGACTTGGAGCTCTACCCTATATTTACTCCCACACACACTCATTGTATTCCTGTCTGGTCCCTGTAGGTTGTGAATAGGTTGTGATGCTGATCTAAATCCACTAAGAGATGTAACCAGATTGTCTAAAGGGGAAAGTGAAGGAGACTTTGTTTTGAGTGTAGGTGAAGGAGTCACCCTGAAGAATGGAAATAGGAGACAGTTCATGGTTTCCAAAGAGACAGACCTGTGAACTGTGAGAAGGGACACTGCCAGCAGACTTTGCAGCAGCCTGCCCTGAGCAGCAATTCCAGAGAGGTGATAGAGGACCAGCCTTGCACAAGGCATCACGTGGAGCTAGGAGTGATGGCCAGAAGACATCCTGCAGGACTGCAGAAGTTGCTTTATGTAACCCAAAATAAAGAGCTATGAAAACCAACTAGCACTGGGCTTCCCACCCACAGCAGTGAGGCTTAAGGGATCTTTCATTGTGCCTTCGATGAATAAAAAGCTAGCCTATCCTTGTGCCAGATGTCTTCCATTTGCCCCTCCAGAACCACTCTCCTCTTTTCTCCATTTTGGTCACTGCTCCAGGGCAGCTTATTTATGGATGACATCAGAAAACTCCCAAGTCCTCTGAGTTCCAGTTGAGTTTGGTTAATGGGGACTTCAGGTGATTCTGTGAAGAGTAGGGGCTCTCTCCCTGCAAGATCATCTCAAGCTGGAGATGCCCCACCATCTAAAGGTTACTGCTTTTCCCAAGATGACTAAAGCTACACCAGTCTGTAAGTTCTGCATGCCTGAGGCTGGTAACAACTCTGCTGCTAGCCTCAGGTTATGACACCATGCCCTGCAGTTCCCCTCTACCACACCTTCATTAAACAGAGCATTTCAAATGGATGAAGAAACCCTCATTGGATTAGCCTGTTTCAAACACACCATCTGTTTCCTGCTGGGACCTTGATGGATACAACCCCAATGTGATGGAACAGTTGACACCTGTCACGCTACAAGAAACAGCATTACAGTGGTAGGAGTAGCAGGGCCAGGATCAGAAGCTGACCATTGAATGAGATTGTTCCCAGATCCAGAACAGACGTAGTTTCACCAGGGATCACAGAGCTTCGTAACCAGAAGCACACACTTGATTATAGCAGAAGTTGTAAGTTATATTGGTATCAAAGCTGCTGCCTTTATATTTAAATTAAGCACTTCAAACATAGAACTCTATTCAATTAGAAGATTCAAATAGGCCGGGCGCGGTGGCTCACGCCTGTAATCCCAGCACTTTGGGAGGCCGAGGCGGGTGGATCATGAGGTCAGGAGATCGAGACCATCCTGGCTAACAAGGTGAAACCCCGTCTCTACTAAAAAAAAATACAAAAAATTAGCCGGGCGCGGTGGCGGGCGCCTGTAGTCCCAGCTACTTGGGAGGCTGAGGCAGGAGAATGGCGTGAACCCGGGAAGCGGAGCTTGCAGTGAGCCGAGATTGCGCCACTGCAGTCCGCAGTACGGCCTGGGCGACAGAGCGAGACTCCGTCTCAAAAAAAAAAAAAAAAAAAAAAAAGAAGATTCAAATAGTAATTGCCAACTAAAGGAGAAAAATAAGAGGGAAACAGAAAAGGAGATATTTTATAGAGCGAGATAAAAACACACCGAACTACAAAGAAAAAGAGATGCGAAAAACACAGCACATAGAATTTGGGCTTTCTACTAGGACAGTGCCAGGGGTTCTCTGAGTTTGGCTGGTGAAAGGCTTCTATATAGCAGTTGCATGCTTTAAGGTGAAGCATGGGCTTCAAGGTGTTGTCTACTGCTGCACAGACCTCTTGTCCCCCAGATCCTGCATCCTTTGTAACCCTTAAGCAGATCATGCTGAATGTGGGTCACAAGGCAGGATCCAGACAGGTCAATACACATTTGGAAGAGGGAGCAAGAGAAGGGCTATTTCCCTGTTTATGACTGGAATACTTGAGAAGGGTCTAGGAACTTACCTAGCTTTCGGTTCAAAGACTATGGATGTGGCATAAGAAGACCCAAACCCTGTTTTCTACCTGGGTCCCTTTTCCTCAGATGTGGTGCCTCAAAGCCTTAGCTTTACAGCTGTCCCTGCCTTCATTCACACATTGGGCACCAGATCCTGTCTGTACAGTGGAAATCTTAAGGTCAGGTCTGCTAGTGTGGTGGAATGTTCACAAAAAGCATGGAAAGCTGTGTGTGATTGTGTGAGGGACTCATTTTGTGTGAAGGTTTAAGAAATAGCTGGTATAAGATTTAGTCTTGGCCAGGTGCAGTGGCTCAAACCTGTAATCCCAGCACTTTGGGCAGATTGCTTGAGCTCAGGAGTTCAAAACCAGCCTGGGCAACACGACAAAACCCCATCTCTACCAAATATACAAAAAAAAAAAAAAAAAAAGCCAGGCATGGTGTGCACACCTGTCATCCCAGATACTTGGGAGGCTGAGGTGGGAGGACGGCTTGAGCCTGGGAGGCGGAGAATGCAATGAGCACAGATCATGCCACTGCACTCCATCCTGGGCTACAGAGCGAGACCCTGTCTCAGCAAAAAGAAAACAAAAAAAGATGTAGTCTCATGGAGGTCAATAGCCTGGGTAAGCTGAAAATAGAAAGTGGAACATCTGAGTCATGGTGCTAGTGCACAGTTTGGGCATTGTTCATGACTACTGGCCGGGGCTAGTGTACAGAGATAATATGTGGGCTTGGAACTGGAGCACTTCACATAGGACCCTCCAAATTCTAGAAAGGACTTGCAGTCACTATTCACAGATGAAATCACCAGATGACAATGGAGCCAATTCTCCTCCTTAGACCAGCCCCCTGGCTCCAAACTTCACAAAGAATTTACAACATTGTAACAGAATGTGACTGTATTCAACTCAGTGTGAATCACACTCATAACATTTGTGCTATGGTTAAATGATTAAAAGAATCCAACTTTTATGTTATTTAAGACAAAGCCTCCTGGAATTGGTTCAAAGGCTGGAATTAATTCAGGAGCTGGTCCATAACTTTGGAGATGCATTTATCCATCATTTGCCATTGGTTACACATTGCCTCAGGGAACATTACCACCCCAAAACCCTCACTTCGGGCTCCCTCTGTGTCCCATATTGTGTCATTGGAAAGCCCTAGAGCCAAAAGCAAAAGTCACACAATGCATGCTTGAGGCATGTTACTGTCAGTACAATGCAAGTCAAAGACTGCCCAAATCCAGCTAGTTCCTCTATCTATAGCTCAAATCAGAAGTCCAAGAGGATGTACAGCTAGTTCCTCCATCTACAGCTCAAATCAGAAGTCCAAGAGTACGTAAGATAAAGTAAAAGGGGTATCTGGTACACAATGTATCTCCGGAAACTCAATTTATAATAAGAGATGTGCTTAACAAACAAGGAATTAGAGCAGAAAGAATTGAACAGTCTTGAGGTATATTTGGTCCTAACTGCAACGGACCTTGAAAAATTAGATGTGCTTTAGCACAACACATATCTTTGTAAAAAACAGGATATTTTTGTCCATGAAATACAGTTTTTTCTTTATTGATTGTTAGATAGTTGCATATTTTGGCTATATTGACTTTGCTTTGTTATTTTTACTTTTTGCATTTTTAATTAATAGATGATACATTCAAACATCAAAAAGTCCAAAAGTAACTGTTTTAGAAAACTAAACAGAACATCTACATATCCTGTGACCCAGAAATTCCTTATAGATACACAGGAATGTATACCTACATTACCAAAAGACATGTATGAGATTGTCCATCACAGTACTATTTTCATAATAGCTCTGCCAAATGCTGGCTTCTGGAATATATCACCAAATTATCTGTTCAGAAGATAAAGCTGAGTTTACTGCTTAGCAAAGTAAAGGAGAGCATTATCTTTCAGAGTTTTAGTAGCATCTCAGGGTGGGGGAGGAAAATTATGAAGATTCGGGTTTGGCTTGTTGACCTCTGACCCAAACCTTCTACAAATTTATTGTTTGTAAATTGTAGGGTGCTTCGTGGTATAATTCAGTATTCATTCTAAAGGCCTAAGAAGGAGGTGAGCCAATGATGTAAATCTCAACCTGAGGACCAGAGATGAGAGGAAATGAGACGTCCGAGCTCAATGTAGAATGTGTGATTAGGGTTTAATAATATAAAGATATAAAAGTTTAGGATTGATGGACATAAGGAGGCAAGTATTTTGAGGTGAAGCTTCCTAAGATTCTTAGAAAGTACACCATCCTTTGGTGCTATTTAAAAGTGGAACAGCCTGATATTTGTTTAAATGGGATTTTTGTAAGAATCTTAACAATAAAGTTGTCTGTAACTTATATCTACCTGGTCAAAAGTTTCCTGAAATATTTACATTAAAATAAACAGTAAATTTGTAGAAGGTTTAGGGCAGAGGTCAGCAAATTACGTCTGTGGGTCAAATCCAGCCTATTTGTTTTTGTAAATAAGGTTTGGAATACTGCCAAATCCTTTCATTACATATGTACTGTAACTGCTTTCCTGCAACACAGCCCTGTTATCTGATCCTACTAGCCGCCTGTGCCTTTCATTATCTTTGTGCTACTTTACAGCTTTAAAAGTTGTAGACAATGAATAGTAATGCAAATTACTCTTGCCTGTAGATACATAAATGAATTTTGTCAGCTGAAGATATAATTGATTATTGCCCTGTGGATATTGGTTAATTTTGCATCTATTAGCTAATTTATTTCAGCATTCCTAATTGCCTATATATGTGTCTGTTCTTGGATTCTGTTTGAAGTGGTTTCTTAAATATATATTTGTATTAGTTATGGTTCTCCAGAGAATCAGAACCAATAGGAGATATATATATGTATATATATGTATATATACACACACACACATATATATATGTATCATGGATGTCAAAAAGTCCCATAATCTGATGTCTGCAAGCTGCAAAGCCAGAAAAGCTGGCAGCATAATTCAGTATTCATTCTGAAGGCCTGAGAACCAAGTGAGCCAATGATGCAAATCCCAATTACAGGGCCAGAGAAGGTGAGATGAGATGAGATGAGATGAGATGAGATGAGATGAGATGAGATGAGATGAGATGAGATGAGATGAGATGAGATGAGATGTCCCAGCTCAAGCAGTTTAGGTAGGAAAAAAGGAACAAACTCCTTCTTCCTCTGCTTTTTCTTCTACGCAGGCCCTCAACAGATTGGAAGATGCCCAGGCAGTTGGGGATGGCAATCTGCTTTCTCAATCTACTGATTCAAATGCTAATCTCATCCAGAAACATCCTCACAGACATACCCAGAAATGATCTTTAATCTGGGCCAGTGAAATTGACATATGAAATTTAACCATTACAATATCTCACCAGTGTCCTCATTAATTGATGAGTTAAATAAAATCTTTGACATGTGTGCATTTTATATGTGTATGGGAATTTTGATTTTGCCTTTTTTAGTGATTAATTTTTAACAGAAGTGGGCAGTCATGCATGGGGTTATCAGTCACTGGGGAGCAAGTAGTGACCAGAGCACACCGGAGCAGACTGCTGAGGTGCAGGTAATGCTCCATTCCTAGATATGGGTGCCGATTACACAGATGAACACTTTTCAGCTGTAGACTGAGGTTCTTTGCAATTTTCTGAATACATGTTGTACTTCAATGAAAAACTCATCTTAAAATAAATATATAAATAAACAAAACATCAAAAGGTATCTAGAGAAATATCTCCCCCAGCTAATGACTTCCCACCTCAACATTAGCCACTGTTATTAGGTATTTTTATTTATCATTCCAGACTTTTTTATAAAGGATAGACAAGGAAATAAGAATACAGGTTCTTATTCCCTCAGCACTTTTTTGCACAAAAGATAGCGTGAAAGATACAACATACACCCTCTTCTGTGCCTTTTATTTTTCACTTAACAATGAATCTTGGAGATCTCTTCTTATCAGTACATGGAGCTCCTCCATTCTTTATTACAGCTCCATTGTATTTCATTAAGTGGATGTGCCACACTTTATTTAACCAGCCCTGTCTATTGATGGGCATTTGGGTTGTTTCTAATCTTTTGCTCCACAGAAATATATTGAGCTCCTAGATAATAATAAGAAAAAGACAGGAAGGGAGAGGAGAAAGAGAGATAGAAATTGGGAGTGAGAATGGGTTGTCAGTGGCACAAAGGCCTGAGCACTTGTGGGGGTAGGGAATGCCCAAGATTAGGGTATGTAGCTGTGACACCAAAGACCAACTATTTTTCCTTTAAATTTTGCCCTCCACCAGCCTTGAAATTTGACTTTTTTTAAGGTTACCTACTTTAACAAAAGGAAGTCAACACACACTGCCTTTTCTCCAAGGAGGCCGGAGAGTTTGCATACATTGGACATACAGGAATTCATATAACAATGATTCAAATAGCGGTCTTCCTCAACTGTGATAAAAACAAGAAGAGCTGATTCCAAACAGCTAGTATTTTATTTCCAGGAATGAAATGCTAACAACTAGTTTCCTGCTTACCACTTACCCTAAAGCAAAGAGAACCACTTACTCAGTGGGCCACAGGAGGCTGTGACTCCCAAAGCCACTGCCCAGCAGAATGACAAGCCCAATTTGCAATTCTCCCTTATTTTCCATCCCTCTAGGATTGAAATGCCTCGCTGCTTCTTCCTAACCAAAATTTATTTTATCAAGGAAGCACCATGTTCTTTCAGGTCTAGAGAAGCCCCCTCTGAACTGGAAAAGACAAAAAACGATTATTCTCATTTGCACAACTGCTTGGAAAGAAAATGAGATTACTGGCACCAAGGGAAAATTTAAATTTTTCCCCAGGCAAGAAGACTTTCTCTGCTCCAGGAGGAAGGTAGTTGAGAATTTACTGCACAACCTAGCTGGAAAAAAATAAGGAGCCTAATAAACCCAGGCAATTTAAGCACATACATGCACATGCATCCAGAAATTCTCTGTGCTGTAATTTATGCAAATGTCTTAATTCATAATTAAAAGGTAATTGGGATCACTTTAATGGCCTTTTCTTCCTCTTAGACTGCCTAAGTGGCAGACCCCTGTCACATCAATTGTGGGTGTTAATATATCAGTTCCAATGATTTTGTCTTAAAAATAACTTTGCTGCAGAGGCTGCCTTAGGGAGCTCAGTCTCCAAGGAGGAAGCTACGTAACAGCCAGTCCATTCTGATCTCCCAGTTATTGACATGCAGAAAAAGAAACATTCACTTTTAATAATAGGGCTCTCTTTCATGCAAAGATAGTACAGGATTTCTAAGAATAAATAATTCATGGTCCTCCAAGCTCTCTGAGAATAAATTTGTTCCTTTTCTGTTTTGTTTTTCTTCAGGATATGACATCTTAGGAAGAAGGGACTGGGGGAAAGAAAGCACTTTCTGCTTCTGTGGATATAAACACACAGTGTTTTATTCCCTAGTGCAACAAAACCTCAAGATCAACAGACAAGAGCTGAAAACCCTTTCCCACCAGACACAGTGCCATCTAAATGTTCTCTCAAAAGATAGCATCTCATAAACAATTTCAACAAAAGGATGTCAGCTTTTACTTTATGTGCATGCACAAAATCACTTTTCAGGAAAAAAAATGACCATTACCGAATCCATCATAAAATTAATTACATTTAGTTGATCACGTTGGCTGACTGGTTATAACTCTTGCTGTATTTTCCAGAAGTGTGTTTCATTTTATTTATCATTAAAGGAAAAAATATTGTAGTTTTCCAATATACTGTCTATTGGTGGTTCTCAAACTCCAGTGTATGCCACAATTGCCAAAGAAATTTAACTAAATGCAGATTCCTTGGCACTGTCCCTCAAAATTCCTATTTACTTTTTCTGGTATAAGGTACAGATAATTCTGATTTACTTAAGCTATGGTTTTAGAAACACTACACTCTAATTCTAATTATTCATGTTAGTTCTCATGAAAATATTCACATTAATTCTAATGAAATATAATGTGACAATACTATATGTAAGAATTTCCTCCCTGACTTCATTTTGATATGAATAGGAGGCAGGGAAATACTGGGTAGAAGGGGGCAGTTCCCCAGCAAAGGCCCCACCTGAACCCTGGAAACCCATGGCCCTAAATGGGAACAGGCATTTCTGTTTTTGCACCCAAATGTTGCCTTTTCCAAGACCATTCTGGCCTGCCATGCCCCTATCCTGTGTCCATATAAACTCCAAGCTCCAGTGGCAAAGTGGCAGAATGGCATGACAGAGAAGCAGAGAATAGAAGGAGTGTCTGAACATCAGGAAGATTTTGGCTGGGGACGGTCGGAGAGAGATCAGCTGCAGGATGACTGAACTCCAGGGGAAGATCATCTTCCCACTCCATCCCCTTTCCAGGTCCCCATCCATCCCACTGAGAGCCACCCCCATCACTCAATAAAATCCCCACATTCACCATCCTTCAAGTTCGTGTGACCTGATTCTCTCTGGATCCTGGACAAGGACCTGGGTACCAAGAGGGCAGGGTGTAAAAGGCTGTCACCCTGACTCTCCACTGAGCTGGAATAGCCATCCATGGACAGCAACTGCTAAAAGAGCATTAAGTGTAATATATCCCTAGATGCTAAAGTGGAGTTGGAGCCCAAGAGTGCTCACCCCAGCTCCTGCACCTGCCCATCTGCATGCTCCTACTCCCATAAGGGGTTTGAGCATGCAGTGGCCCAGCAAACAAGCCACATCCCTGTTGCAAGTCCCACAACGGGGTCAGGGAACTCTCCCGTTTTAATTTCATTGGTAATTTCCTAAAATTGACTGTTGATTCCTATGTTCCTTTCAATGGATTGCTCTTTTGAGGAAATTACATATTCAGATTATCTAAATGATGCTGTGAAGTCATAATTCTTGACAAAACTGAAGCAGGAAAAGAAAAGTGCCACAAAACTGGGGAGACAAGAAGTTCATTGAAGAGCTGATAAAAGCTATGTGCCCCTTTCCAAGAAAAAAATAAGGCACATTCACACAAATTTTACACCATTTCAATAGGTTCACAGACCTCAGACTAGAGATTTCTATCCTAATGTGTTCATAAGTCACAAATTTAAAGGCAAATTCTTATTTGAGTTTAGGAATATGAAGGCAATATGTTCTGTCACACAGTGTGACTACAACTAAACGTAGTATCATGGAAGCTTCATGAAACATGAGGCAGGTCTTCCAGTTCTAAGAAACATAAAAGACACTTGTTAACAAACATGCCACTTCCAAACTTTCTGATGTAAAATAAAGTTTAGCAGCTAATTATTTCCTGTAATTCATGGAAGTAGCCAGAGCCGATCATTTTAAATCCAAAAGTACAAGAATTTAGGAAGGAAAATGTTAAGAATGGGATAGAAACAGGATGAGTTTTTGTAGTTGATTTCTTATATTCCTGAAATAAACCCCAAAATCTCTAATTTTGTTGATACCTTAGTACTGTGTAAAGCATTCTGTTATGCGTTAGTGACTAATTCTACATGGACTGCCTATTATATCATATGTAATAATTCAGCAAAACAGAAGACCACTAGCAAAGTCTAAGCAGAGCCAGAAATTCCATGAAGATATTAAGTTTGCTCATCGTATTTTATCTATCTGATTGCACAATTAGAGGAATGGTGAGATCATGTCTACAAAGAAAAGTGAGCCTCTCTAAAGAAAGATATTACAATAATGCAAAGCATTGCTTCACCATCTTAAAATGGAATATCATTGCCATCCATTTAAAAAGTTCTAGGAGAATTAAATAAACTGAGAGTTTTTAAAAAGACTTTGTCCAGAGGCAAGGATAGATGAGGGACTATTAATCCAGACTGTGGCCAGTTGCTTATTGTTTGTAAGAAACTAACACAATATTTAGTGGCTTAAAGTAACAATTTGCTTATGCTTCTGTGGGTCAGTATTTTGGGCTGCATTCATCTGGAACAGTTTCAATCTATGCTCTATGTGGTGTCAATGGGGCTCACTCATCTGTCTGAGGCCTCAGCTGGAACAATGTGAATGATTGAGATGACTGAGCTGTCTGGGTCTCTCTCCACATGGTCTCTCATTCCCCCATAGACAGGGCTCCAAGAGGACTAAAACAAAACCTTCAAAGTCTCTTAAGACCTCAGCTCAGATCTCACATAGTGTCACTTCCACTGTATTATGTTGATCAAAGGAAGCTACAAAGCCAGCCAACAGTGGGGAAATAAACTCTACCTCTTCACAGGAGGAACTGCAAATAATTTGTGGCTGTTTTTATCTAAGAAAGATACTATTCCGTAAAACTGTACTACATACAATGCAAGATTTTTTTCTAAATAGAAAAGAAAATGCATTTCATTAAGAAACTATTGACCTGAATGCTAAAGAATGATAAGCGGGTAAATGTACTTTGTGACAACTTGATGAGCTGTTGTATTTTGTTGGGGATAGGAGGTGCAGAAAGATGGATGGAATGCTAGACACATGATGTATCCATTTGGATAAATTATTCTGGTAAGTTCCAAAAGCTATAAGAAACTGTTACCTCTAATTTTAATAACTATTGTTAAGTTGATGGATTAGCAAATATCATGCCAATATTAATATCTAAGATAAAATGGTTTTGTTTCAACACTGATTGCGTGACATGAACCCATGCACTAGTTAGCTAGATCCAACTGTCAAATGACATCACATAGCTCTTTTAAAAGAAGAAATATGTTTCAAGTACATAAAGTGGGTTGTGATGTGGAATAACAAAAAATCTTTTCACATGTTTTCAACTATGTCTCCACTTTAAACAGAAGAAAAAATACAGAAACAAGCAAATAGGAAATTTTAACAGACTTGTAGTTATGTGTATTCTAGTCCTAATATACCAGGAATTTGCTTCATGACATTACATAAAATAGAGATTCCTCCAACACAATTACAGTGGCAGTAGATAATATCTGTATAGTTCTTCCAGTTTTAATATTA